>NC_000007.14:151882622-152034137 GCF_000001405.40 Homo sapiens | reverse complement strand
AACCCCTGGGCTATCGGTTATGTCCCCTTCAAGTTGTAGGGAGAGGGAATTTGACCCAACTAGGGTACATGTCCCTTTCTCCCTCTCTGATTTAAAGCAGATCAAGGCAGACCTGGGTAAGTTTTCAGATGATCCTGATAGGTACACAGATGTCCTACATGGTCTAGGGCAAACCTTCGATGTCACTTGGAGAGATGTCATGCTACTGTTAGATCAAACCCAGGCCTTTAATGAAAAGAATGCGGCTTTAGCTGCAGCCTGAGAGTTTGGAGATACCTGGTACCTTAGTCAAGTAAATGGCAGAATGACAGCTGAAGAAAGGGACAAATTCCCTACTGGTAAGCAAGCCATCCCCAGTATGGATCCCCACTGGGACCTTGACTCAGATCATGGGGACTGGAGTCGTAAACATCTGTTGACCTGTGTTCTAGAAGGACTAAGGAGAATTAGGAAAAAGCCCATGAATTATTCAATGATGTCTACCATAACTCAAGGAAAGGAAGAAAATCCTTCTGCCTTCCTTAAGTGGCTACAGGAGGCCTTAAGAAAATGTACTCCCCTGTCACCAGACTCACTTGAGAGTCAATTGATTGTAAAATATAAGTTTGTTACCCAATCAGCCGTGGATATCAGGAGAAAGCTCCAAAAGCAAGCCCTGGGCCCTGAACAAAATCTGGAGGCATTATTAAACCTGGCAACCTTGGTGTTCTATAATAGGGACCAAGAGGAACAGGCCCAAAAGGAAAAGCGAGATCAGAGAAAGGCTGCAGCCTTAGTCATGGCCCTCAGACAAACAAACCTTTGGTGGTTCAGAAAGGACAGAAAATGGAGCAGGCCAATCACCCGGTAGGGCTTGTTATCAGTGTGGTTTACAAAGACATTTTAAAAAAGATTGTCCAACGAGAAACAAGCCACCCCCTCATCCATGTCCGCTATGCCGAGGCAATCACTGGAAGGCGCACTGCCCCGGAGGACAAAGGTTCTCTGGGTCAGAAGCCCCCAACCAGATGATCCAACAACAGGACTTGAGGGTGCCTCGGGCAAGCGCCAGCTCATGTCATCACCCTCACTGAGCCCCGGGTACATTTAACCATTGAAGGCCAGGAAATTGACTTCCTCCTGGACACTGGCGTGGCCTTCTCAGTGTTAATCTCCTGTCCCGGACGACTGTCCTCAAGGTCCATTACCATCCGAGGAATCCTGGGACAGCCTGTAACCAGGTATTTCTCCCACCTTCTCAGTTGTAATTGGGAGACTTTGCTCTTTTCACACACCTTTCTTGTCACGCCTGAAAGTCCCACACCCTTATTAGGGAGGGATATGTTAGCCAAAGCTGGAGCTATTATCTACATGAATATGGGGAACAAGTTACCCATTTGGTGTCACCTACTTGAGGAAGGAATCTACCTTGAAGTCTGGGCATTGGAAGGACAATTTGGAAGGGCAAAAAATGCCTGCCCAGTCCAAATCAGGTTAAAAGATCCCACCACATTTCCTTATCAAAGGCAATATCCCTTAAGGCCTGAAGCTCATAAAGGATTACAGGATATTGTTAAACATGTAAAAGCTCAAGGCTTAGTAAAGAAATGCAGCAGTCCCTGCAACACCCCAATTCTAGGAGTACAAAAACCGAACGGTCAGTGGAGTCTAGTGCAAGATCTTAGACTCATCAGTGAGGCAGTAATTCCTCTATATCCAGTTGTACCCAACCCCTATACCCTGCTCTCTCAAATACCAGAGGAAGCAGAATGGTTCCCTGTTCTGGACCTCAAGGATGCCTTCTTCTGTATTCCCCTGCACTATGACTCCCATGACTCCCAGTTTCTCTTTGCCTTTGAGGATCCCACAGACCACACATCCCAACTTATATGGACCGTCTTGCCCCAAGGGTTTAGGGATAGCCCTCATCTGTTTGGTCAGGCACTGGCCCAAGATCTAGGCCACTTCTCAAGTCCAGGCACTCTGGTCCTTCAGTATGTGGATGATTTACTTTTGGCTACCAGTTCGGAAGCCTCATGCCAGCAGGCTACTCTAGATCTCTTGAATTTTCTAGCTAATCAAGGGTACAAGGCATCTAGGTCAAAGGCCCAGCTTTGCCTACAGCAGGTCAAATATCTAGGCCTAATCTTAGCCAGAGGGACCAGGACCCTTGGCAAGGAACGAATACAGCCTATACTGGCTTATCCTCACCCTAAGACTTTAAAACAGTTGTGGGGGTTCCTTCAAATCACCGCTTTTGCCAACTATGGATCCCCAGATAGAGCAAGATAGCCAGGCCCCTCTATACTCTAATCAAGGAGACCCAGAGGGCAAATACTCATCTAGTAGAATGGGAACCAGAGGCAGAAACAGCCTTCAAAACCTTAAAGCAGGCCCTAGTACAAGCTCCAGCTTTAAGCCTTCCCACAGGACAAAACTTCTCTTTATACATCACAGAGAGAGCAGGGATAGCTCTTGGAGTCCTTACTCAGACTCGTGTCTGACAACTGGTGGCACACCTAGGTAAGGAAATTGATGTAGTAGCAAAAGGCTGGCCTCACTGTTTAAGGGTAGTTGCAGCAGTACCCATCCTAGTGTCAGAGGCTATCAAAATAATACAAGGAAAGGATCTCACTGTCTGGACTACTCATGATGTAAATGGCATAGTAAGTGCCAAAGGGAGTTTATGGCTATCAGACAACCACCTACTTAGATACCAGGCACTACTCCTTGAGGGACCGGTGCTTCAAATACATACATGCGTGGCCCTCAACCCTGCCACTTTTCTCCCAGAGGATGGGGAACCAATCGAGCATGACTGCCAACAAATTATAGTCCAGACTTATGCTGCCTGAGATGACCTCTTATAAGTCCCCTTAGCTAATCCTGACCTTAATCTATATACCAACAGAAGTTCATTTGTGGAGAATGGGATACGAAGGGCAGGTTATGCCATAGTTAGTGACGTAACCGTACTTGAAAGTAAGCCTCCTCCCCCAAGGACCAGCACCCAGTCAGGAGAACTAGTGGCACTTACCTGAGCCTTAGAACTGGGAAAGGGAAAAAGAATAAATGTGTATACAGGTAGCAAGTATGCTTATCTAATCCTACATGCCTGTGCTGCAATATGGAAAGAAAGGGAGTTTCTAACCTCTGGGGGAACCCCCATTAAATACCACAAGGAAACCATGGAGTTATTGCATGCAGTGCAAAAACCCAAGGAGGTGGCAGTCTTACACTGCCAAAGCCATCAAAACGGGAAGGAGAGGGGAGAACAGCAGCATAAGTGGCTGGCAGAGGAAGGGAAAGACCAGCAGAAAGGAAAGAGAGAAAGAAACAGAAAATCAGAGAGAGACACAGAGAGAGGAAGTGAGAGACAAAGGAGTCAGAGAGAAAGAAAGAGACAAAGTCAAAGAGACAGAGACAAAGAGAGAGTCAGAGAGAGAGACATAGAAAGGCAAAGAGAGAGAGGAAGAGACAGACAAAGAGGGACTCAGAGAGACAAAGAAGTCATCAAAGAGAAAGAGAGATAGAAGTAGTAAAGAAAAAACAGTGTACCCTATTGTGGGCGGCAAGCCACCCAGGTGCCGAGGCAAGAGACTGAGGGCACGAGCTGTTCCAGTATAAAATATATAAAATAAGAAGTTATACTAAATATAGATCATAGAGATGATTATATATGAATATCATTAATCATTAGTTTGTAGCAATTACTCTTTATTCCAATATTATAATAATCTTCACTCTACAATCATAACCTAGGAAAAACCAGGCCATACAGGGATAGGAGCTGAGGGGACATAGTGAGAAGTGACCAGAAGACAAGAGTTGAGGCTTCTGTTATGCTCGGACAGGGCCACCAGAGGGCTCCTTGGTCTAGTGGTAACACCAGCGTCCCGTGATCTAGCGGTAGCATCAGTGTCAAGGAAAAACACCCGCTACTTAGCAGACCAGGAAAGGGAGTCTCCCTTTCCCCGTGGGAGTTTACAGAAGACTCTACTCCTCTACCTCTTGTCTTTTCTTTTATCTCTGTCTTGTGTCTTTATTTCTACACTCTCTCGTCTCCGCACACGGGGAAAAAACCCACCGACCCTGTGGGGCTGGACCCTACACCCTATTCCTTTAAAAGCCACAGTAAAGTTAAAACCTATAACTGATAATTGAAGGCCTTCTCTGTAACTCTGTAACACTCCAATACCACCTTGTTGTCAGTGTAAACAAGGGCGTAGCCCAAAAGCACTGAGGCCACTGACAACCCATAGCCTTCCTATCAAAAATCCTTAACCCAGCAGGTTTCCTAACAGGGGATCTAAATCTTAACTAACTACCATACAAAGGTCCGACCAGATCTAGGAGGAACTCCCTTCAGGACAGGACCATAGATGGTTCCTCCTGGGTGATTAAGGAAAAAAGACACAAGGGGTATTCAGTAAATGATAAGGGAACTGTAGAAGCAGAGTTAGGAAAACTGCCTAATAATTGGTTTGCTCAAATGTGCGAGCTGTTTGCACTCAGCCAAACCTTAAAGTACTTACAGAATCAGGAAGGAGCCATCTATATCAATTCTAAGTTAATATGGACTGAACGAGGTCTTATTAATAGCAAAGAATAATTGAAATCCCAAACTTACAAGGTTTTCAACAAAAGTAAAGTTTGCTAAAAGTTAACAGTGTAAACATATATTATTCTAACTTCTAATCTTGTGGAAATCAGACCCTATCAGTACCCCTCAAAGCTCAAGTCCGTCAGTGCAGAGCCATACAACTAATACCCCTACCTATAGGGTTAGAAATGGCCACTGCTACAGGAACTGGAATAGCCAGTTTACCTACTTCATTATCCTACTACCACACTCTCAAAGGATTTCTCAAGAGAGTTTGCAAGAAATAACAAAATCTATCCAGTAAGGATAGTAACTACAATTCCAAATAGACTCTTTGGCAGCAATGACTCTCCAAAACCACCGAGGCCTAGACCTCCTCACTGCTGAGAAAGGAGGACTCTGCACCTTCTTAGGGGAAGAGTGTTGTTTTTACACTAACCAGTCAGGGATAGTATGAGATGCCACCCAACATTTATAGGAAAAGGCTTCTGAAATCAGACGCCTTTCAAACTCTTACACCAACCTCTGGAGTTGGACAACATGGCTTCTCCCCTTTCTAGGTCCTGTGGCAGCCATCTTGCTATTACTTGCCTTCGGGCCCTGTATTTTTAACCTCCTTTTCAAATTTGTTTCCTCTAGAATTGAGACCATCAAGCTACAGATGGTCTTACAAATGGAACTCCAAATGAGCTCAACTAAACTTCTACCAGGACCCCTGGACCAACCTGCTGGCCCTTTCACTGGCCTAAAGAGTTCCCCTCTGGAGGACACTACAATTGCAGGGCCCCTTCTTCACCCCTATCCAGCAGGAAGTAGCTACAGCAGTCATTGGCCAAATTCCCAACAGCAGTTGGGGTGTCCTGTTTAGAGGGGGGGGATTGAGAGGTGAAGCTGGCTGTGCTTCTGGGTCGGGTGGGGACTTGGAGAACTACTCTGTCTAAAGGATTGTAAATGCACCAATCAGGGCTCTGTGTCTAGCTAAAGGTTTGTAAACACACCAATCAGTGCTCTGTGTCTAGCTAATCGGGTAGGGGACTTGGAGAACTTTTCAGTCTAGCTAAAGGATTGTAAATGCACCAATCAGTGCTCTGTGACTAGCTAACTGGGTAGCAGACTTGGAGAACTTTTCTGTCTAGCTAAAGGATTGTAAATGCACCAATCAGCGCTCTGTGTCTAGCTAAAGGTTTGTAAACGCACCAATCAGCACTCTGTAAAAACCGACCAATTAGCACTCTGTAAAACAGACCAATCAGCACTCTGTAAAACAGAGCAATCAGCACTCTAAAATGGACTAATCAGCTCTCTGTAAAATGGACCAATCAGCAGGATGTGGGTGGGGCCAAATAAGGGAATAAAAGCAGGCCACTGGAGCCAGCAGCGGCAACCTGCTCGGGTCCCCTTCCATGCTGTGGAAGCTTTGCTCTTTCATTCTTTGCAATAAATCTTGCTGCTGCTCACTCTTTGGGTCTGCACTAACTTTATGAGCTGTAACACTGACTGTGAAGGTCTGTGGCTTCACTCCTGAAGTCAGTGAGACCACAAACCTACTGCGAGGAACAAACAACTCTCGACATGCCACCTTTAAGACCTGTAACACTCACTGCGAAGGTCTGCAGGTTGACTCCTGAAGTCAGTGAGCTCATGAACCCACTGGGAGGAAAAAACAACTCCAGACGTGCCACCTTTAAGAGCTGTAACACTCACTGCAAAGGTCTGCGGCTTCATCCCTGAAGTCAGCAAGACCACGAACCCACCAGAAGGAAGAAACTCTGGACACATCTGAACATCAGAAGGAACAAACTCTCGACATACCATCTTTAAGAACTGTAACACTCACCGCGACAGTCCGTGGCTTCATTCTTGAAGTCAGCGAGACCAAGAATCCACTGGAAGGAACCAATTCCGGACACATTTACGCAGCAGCCACGTCAGACTGGGACACTTCCTGCTTACAGAGGACTATAAAACCCCTTCCTCACTTGGGGCTGATGCTATTATAAAACCCATTCCTCACTTGGGGCTGATGCCATTTAGGCATAAACCCGTCTGCACCCAGGCGCTTATTAAAACAGCATGTTGCTCCACACCGCCTCATGTCGTGGGGGTTGTTGGTGCGTCATCGGGGTTCAAACCAATACAAGAGCCTTGCAGGTTGTTTGTAGCACTAACAAAGGATAAATGCTTGAGAAGATGGATACCCTGCTTATCCTGATGTGATTATGCATTCTATGCCATATCAAATATCTCATGTACCTATAAATACATATGCCTACTATGTACCCACAAAAATTAAAAATAAATTTTTTTGAGATGGAGTCTCGCTCTGTCACCCAGGATGGAGTGCAGTGGCGTGATCTCGGCTCACTGCAAGCTCTGCCTCCTCGATTCACGCCATTCTCCTGCCTCAGCCTCCCAAGTAGCTGGGATTACAGGCGCCTGCCACCACGCCCGGCTTATTTTTTGTATTTTTAGTAGAGACGGGATTTCACCGTGTTAGCCAGGATGGTCTTGATCTCCTGACCTCGTGATCCGCTCGCCTTGGCCTTCCAAAGTGCTGGGATTACAGGCGTGAGCCACCGCACCCGGCTAATAAAAAAATTTTTAAAGAGATTTATTCTGAGCGAAATGAGTGTCTATGGCCCATGACACTGCCCTCAAGAGATCCTGAGAGCATGTACCCAAGGTGGTGGGGGCACAGCCTAGTTTTATACATTGTAGGGGAACATGAGTCTTCAATCAAATACAGGTATAGACTAGTTCGGGCAGGAAAGGTGGGACAACTCAAAGTGGCGGCTTCCAGGTCATGGGTAAGATGAGAGACAAACGGCTACATTCTTTTGAGCCTCTGCTCTGCCTTTTACTGAACACACAATTTACGCCATGGGGCAGGCAGAGGAATAGCCACTTGTGCCTTAGTCTGGCTCAGTGAATCTGCATTTTTACATAAATACAGGGCAGAGGAAGCCGTCAGACATGCATCTGTCTCAGGTGAGCAGAAGGATGACTTGAGTTCTGTCCCTGTTCCTCACCTGCGAAGACAAGCTGTCAATTTACACTGCCAGGGTGCAATTCCACACAACTGTTTCAGGGTAAAGATGTGGAGGTCCACAGCGAATTTCCTCCTGGCCAAAGGGTGAGGGAGCTGTGTGGCTTTTTATCTTTGCAGCTGTCTTAGGAACAAAACTTAGGGGCAGGTTTGCCTGACGCAGCTCCCAGCTTGACTTTGGCTTAGTGATTTGGGGTCCCGAGATTAAATTTCCTTCCACACTATTCTCCCTAGTTTTGTGTATGTGTGAACTATTCTATTTCTGGGCACTTTTAATTTTAAAAAGTGGACAATACTGATCTGGACTTCATTTTAGGAAATGCTGGGGGAGGCTGCAGGATCAGGTGTGCCTCCGTCCTAAATACGCGAAAACGAGGCCAGCGCCCTGGTCCTCGCCCCCACGCCCGCGAACAAGCCTCAGGAGACGCTGGGGGAGGCGCGGGGGCAGCGGCGTCTCCCGGAGACACGAGCCTCGCCCAGGGGGCGTGCGGGAGCCCAGGACCCGCGGGGAGCCAGGCGCTGCCCCGCCGCCGCCCCCAGCCTGCCCAGGCCCCGCGCGCCGCCGCCGCCGCAGCTCTCGAGGTGCTGAGGGACGCCGGGAGGCCGCCGCCTAGAGGGTACTCACCGCCTTGCCCGCAGCCCAGGATCGCCGCCTTCTGGGACTCGGGCTGCGGCATCTTCTCTCCCGCCACAGCCCCAGTCCGACCCGCAGGAGCGGCGCGGGCTGAACTGCCCCGGGGCCCAGCAGCCAGGCGTCGCGCAGGCGCTGGGCGCAGTGGCGGCCGCGCCTCCTCAGGCCCAGGGCCCTCGCCCAGTCCCCGAGCCGCTGCCTCCGCCCAGCGCCGCGCGTCCGCCGGCGCCGCGTGACAGGCGGCCCCGCCCCCGCGCCGCGGTGACGAAACCTCTCGCTGCCCTGACGTCACCGGCCGCCGCGCGCTGAGTCCTCCCTAGCGTTCGCGCAGAGGCGCCGCGCGTGGCCTGGCTCCTGTTGTCTGTCACCCGCGGTCTCAAAAGACCCCATTAATGACAAATGCCCTGCCTGTGGCCCCGGCTACTCCGGAGGCTGAGGCGGGAGCAGCGCTTGAGCCCGGGAGCTCTGCGCTGTATGCGCTGTGCCCATTGCGCGGCGACACGCATCTGTGTTCCGCATCGGTGTGGTGACCTCCCGGGAGCAGGGACCACCAGGTTCCCCAAGGAGTGGGGAACTGGCCCAGCTCGGAAACCGGGCAGGGCAAAACTCCTGTGCTGATCGGTAGCGGGATCGCGCCTGTGAATAGCCACTGCCCTCCAGCCTGGGCAATACAGCGAGACCCCATAAGTGAAAAAAAAAAAAAAAGACAAATGCCCTTAAACATATTAAAAGAAGTTAAACGCCACTTGTGATAGAAGAAAATGTAGATTAAGGTGTAAAGAGAGAAGTGGTGAAAAAAACACTCATACCTTGGTGATAATAGTGCAATGTATACAAATACCATAAAAGGGGAATTGGCAATTTTTAAGAAAAATGGTGTGGGCATTCATCTTTGGCCAATAATGCCAAGTTATATTGAAGAATATCTTAATACTAATCTTCTTTGCATTTCTGAAATAAATCCCACTTGGTTAAGAATATTTTTGAACTTTTTTAAAGAACTCATTGCTTCACAATTAAAGTCTGATGGGGTACACGCGTAGCAATGGAGGAACTTCTACAGCTACTATAAATTAAAGAGCACCACCTGAACCAAAGTAGTGGCCTTCTTGAGCTGAACTGAGCTAACCACATTCCCCAGCCCCTCTTCCACAGATACCCCATGGGGTTGTCAGGGTGTAGGGGATGCCATGTTGTACCACCCAGGTTTCCCCTTAAGGACTGAGGACTCATTTCTCCAGTTGTTGGGTGTGTAGGCCGCTGATGGCCCCCAGCTGAGTCTTGTGGCCACTTCCCTCAGCCAAAGAGAACTGCTGCTGGGTGCCAAGTTGAATGCTTTTGACTCCTTCTACCATGCTTGTGTCTTGATTGGAGATTGACAGATATTTCAGGTACTGGTTTCTCTTGCAAGGGCAGTGCAGACAGCACACAGGTATCTTTGCCCAGTTTCCTTCAATGGTTGCAGCTCATGTAAAATATACATAGTATAATATCAAATAAGCGTCATTGGGGATCAATCCTGCTGGGATCCCCCTCAGAAACTATTCACAGCAGTGGCAGGCAAACTAGGGCAAAGTCTACTAGGTATATTTAAAAGTGTATTACAAGTTTATTTAAATACATAAATATGTTTCCAGAAAGTAATCCTTCCAACTACCTAAACTAGTAATGAAAAATGTTAAATATCACCTTAAATATGTATAAGGGGATACTAAGTTCTTGTATTTAAACCTTATTATTTTAGTATATACTCAAGCAAAAGAGTTTGAAGACCAGACCTTTAGGGCCTCACTACTCAAATGGTGGTCCAGCAACAAGCGACACCAACGTCACCTGGAGTGTGTTAGAAATGGGGAGTCTTGTGCTCCACCTACTTAATTAAAATCTGCATTTTTACCAAGATTTCCAGGTGATTTATACACAAATTAACATTTGAAATCATGCTCTAGGATTAATCAGGGCATGTAAATTTCCATTGTTTCATCTTCTCCTGACCCTTGATAGTATCAGATATTTAAATATTTGCCAACCTGATGAGTATGAGATGCATCTGTTTATTACTTTAAATACTATTCTACCTGATTAATGTGCAATAATTACTTAACCATTATTCTCGTAATTGAGGATTTGGGTTAGCTCCAATTTTTCACTATCATACAGAATGACACTAAAATGCTCTTTTCAGCGTATCATTCTGGTTAAACACAATCTTTGAGGCCACGCTGATTAGGATCATGTAAGGGCCGTGTTATTGTTTGTCCTTGGATACAGTTGCCAGATGAAATACAGGATGGCCTGAAATTTGAATTCCAGATTAAGAATAATTTTGTGGTTTAAGTATATCCTGTGCAATATGTGAGAGGCT
Source organism: Homo sapiens (assembly GCF_000001405.40). Taxonomy (NCBI): domain Eukaryota; kingdom Metazoa; phylum Chordata; class Mammalia; order Primates; family Hominidae; genus Homo; species Homo sapiens. Next base: position 152,023,513 of record NC_000007.14, on the reverse strand, counting down.
TGTCTTCATCTGTGCTGCCATAATAAAATACCTGAGACTAGGTAGTTTAAAAACAAATTTGTTTTCCCACTCTCCTGGAGGCTGGGAAGTACAAGATCCAGCAGCCGTATCTGGTAGGCTGCTGGTGAGGGCTTTGTGCTACATCATAACGTGGCAGAGAATCGGAAGAGGAAGCGCGCACTGGCTAAAGGGGCAATGTTACTTATTAACAACCCGCTCTCAAGGTACCTAATCCAGTCTCAAGAGACTGGGAACTCTCAGTGACTGCGTTAATCTTTTCATGGGGGGCTGGTCCCTCATGGCTCAAATGCCTCTTAAAGGTCCTACTCTGTCTCAACACTGTTACCCTGGGGTCCAAGCCTCAACATGAATTTTGGTGGGGATAAAAGGTATTCAAACTGTAGTGCTGTTGCTTTGTCAGTTGTTTCAACATGAATTATGGAAGACACATTCAGAATGTAGCCATATGTACAGTAAAATGTTATTGTCTATTTGAAATTCAAGTTTAACCAGGCATCCTGTATTTTTATTAGCCAAATAGGGCAACGTTAACCTGGGCACATTCTAACCATCGTTTTCTCATCTATGAAATGAGGATAGCAGTAGAACTCATAAAGTTGTTGTATGAATGAAAGGAGATAATCCATGCAGACTACTTATAACAGAGTATGAAACGTAGTAAAAGCTCAGCAAATGTCAGCTCTTCTTAGTTGTTGTTTCATACAGGTGTGTCTTGGGATAAATTCCTAGAAGGATGTTTTAGTTACAGAACTCCTGGGCTTAATTTCAGACTTGTTTGAGCATTCCATCATACCAAAAACTGTTTTGTAAGAAACCCTAAGCAGGTTACCAGATACTTTTCAACTAGCTTCAAAATACAAATCAGATTTTTAAATTTCCACACAAAAACAAAAAATTGCCATCTATAGGCAAGTATCAATTTCCCTTTAATCACACCAAATATTTGGATATTGATTCTGATTTCTTTTCTATTTTAGGGTCAACTGAAGCAATATTTAAGAAGATACTGTCCAAGGGACATGCTGAACAATTTCTAGGACTTATCTGTGTTATCTAGTACCTAAACTAAATTACATTACAAAACTAAGACTTAATATTAGGCCCACGGCTTTTAACAAAAGAGAACACTCCTGTCTTTTGCTTTTGGGAAAGCTGATATTTACAGCATCCATTCTTTATGCTTACCAGAAAAAAAATATACTTTTTAATGTTACATATATATCATTTATATATTACATATAATAATTATATATAACATATATATATTCTCAAATTTCAACTAGAAAAAAACTGTTACTTTAAGAAGATACTCCATATTTATACTACTATAATTCTCTTTTATTTTTTCAGCTACAAGATTTCTATTTTGCTTTTTGTTTGTTTGTTTTTTGAGACAGTCTCTGTCACCCAGGCTGGAGTGCAGTGGTGTGATCTTGGTCTTGGTCTCGGCTCACTGCAACCTCCACCTCCCATGTTCAAGCGATTCTTGTGCCTCCCAAATAGCTGGGATTACAGGCACGTGCCACTGAGCCGGGTTCTGTTTTGCTTTTTTTTTTTTTTTCCTGACGGAGTCTCACTCCGTCGCCCAGGCTAGAGTGCAGTGGTGCAATCTCAGCTCACTGCAACCTCTGCCTCCCAGGTTCAAGCAATTCTCCTGCCTCAGCCTCCTGAGTAGCTAGGATTACAGGCGTGCGCCACCATGCCCAGCTAATTTTTTTGTATTTTTAGTAGAGACCGGGTTTCACCATGTTGGCCAGGCTGATCTCAAACTCCTGATCTCGTGATCCACCCGCCTCAGCCTCCCAAAGTGCTGGGATTACAGACGTGAGCCACCGCGCCTGGCCTGTTTTGCATTTTATCATAATTTTAGTAGACTCATGGGTTTATTATGATTAATTTTTAAATGACTTTCTAGAGGCAGGAAAGGTATAAATAATATATGGGCCAAGAATACAATCAAGCGTGGCACTCGTTTTGTGCTGCCAGATCAACCTTTTAAAGGATCAATCAAGTGGCTGTCTGTAATAGATCAGCTCATGTCTGTCTAGCAATAGATTTTATGCAGTATTTTGCTAAATAGATAGGTATAAAGGGGTTATTTGCGGCCGGGCGCAGTAGCTCACACCTGTAATCCCAGCACTTTAGGAGGCCGAGGCGGGTGGATCACCTGAGGTCAGGAGTTCAAGACCAGCCTGGCCAACATGATGAAACCACATCTCTACTAAAAATACAAAAATTAGTTGGGCATGGTGGTGGGTGCCTGTAATCCCAGCTACTTGGGAGGCTGAGGTATGAGAATCACTTGAACCCGGGAGGTGGAGGTTGCAGTGAGCCGAGATCGGGCTACTGCACTCCAGCCTGGGCAACAAGAGTGAAACTCTGTCTGCAAAAAAAAAAAAAAAAAACTTCATTCCCAGCAACTAGAAGAATACCTGTCTGATTGAAGGAGCTCAATAGATGATTCAAATTGTTTTTCTGCTGTAAAAACTAACTTACCTTCTTTCCAGCATAGACTATTCTCTTCCACTTTTTTTTTTTTTGCCCCTTTCAATGTGTTTCTTCTCTCATTATCTGTCTCTCTTTCTGAATTCAGTGTCTTTCACCTTCTTAGCCACCATCACCAGCGTAAAACCAACAGTGATCTGTCTAACTCCAAAGATGCCAAAGAAGTACTTTGGACATCTGAGAATGTGTTTACACAGGACAGACAAGTCACCCAGCTGCTGCTTCCCTGATCCCAGCTAAACAGTTTACCAAGAGTCAAGAAGTGTCTGGAGAGCTGGAGGCCAGAGCCATAGGAGGAGACAGACATGAAAAAGGCAAAATTGGCCGGGCGTGGTGGCTCATGCCTGTAATCCCAGCACTTCGGGAGGCCGAGGCGGCCGGATCACAAGGTCAAAAGATCGAGACCATCCTGGCCAACATGGTGAAACCCTGTCTCTACTAAAAATACAAAAATTAGCTGGGCATGGTGGTGTGCGCCTGTAATCCCAGGTACTTGGGAGGCTGAGGCAGGAGAATTGCTTGAACCCGGGAGGCAGAGGTTGCAGTGAGCCGAGATTATAACACTATGCTCCAGCCTGGCGACAGAGCGAGACTCACAGAAGACGGAGTATCTTCAGATGACAGAAGGGCTGGCAGGAACAGATGGGGAAGCTGGCCTGGAGAGCTGACCAGACACCCAGGCAGGTGGACTGGACGCCAGATGTTCAGGTATGCAGCTGAGTAAGGTGTCGTTACCAGAATCTACCCTGGCAGGAAGAAAGGAGCTTGCTGCAGCTCAGCCAAAGTCACGAGAGCATGGCTCCCTAAGAAGCCAATCGCGACAGATTGTCTGGGGCAGAAGCCGGGTTGGCAAAGGGAAAGCAGTCCCTACAGTCTACCAGGGCCAGGTGGCTGTGGTAAACAAATGCACTTTAACTCAGTCAGCTGTATGATAGAGTCGTAACTGTGTGACCACTTACCTTTCTAATGTTCAAGGTCTTGTCACCTCAGAGATTCAGTAGCAGATGAGTAACAAAGTATCAAGAATTTTCATTGAAGGGAAAATAAAGGCACTCACGTCTGGTCATATTTTTTTAATTGCATTTCACGTAATTCCACGATGTTCCAAACTTACACTCTTGTGACACTATGTTGAATGACTAGGAGACTTTTAACCCTTTATTAATGAAAGTGATTTGTTTTCCTTTCACAGGCTGTTCACAGATGCCTCCAACTCTGGGAAGACATTATCCAAATACCACTGAAATGACTTGCAACCCAGTCGTTTCCTTAACTCAACACGCTCGCGAATATTTCCGTAGGTGACATATTTCAGACCAGGCTTTCGAAGAAAAAACTGCTCCTAAATGAAAATATAGAGTCAGTCGTTACGTTCAACCAAACAAATCTTTGCTGATCAAATGATTATATCTAACATAGACGCATGTATTTTCATCATGTGAACTAAAAAAGCCCTCCAGATCCCAATTTTTTTCTGTCTAGGGAATGAAGGCAGAGACATACTATGGGACCTCGGATTTACCCACCCTGCATATGTTCACAGCACGTGCCATGGCACCCTAGCGGGATCCAGGAAGACTGGGTCCTGCTTCTCAGGAGCCAAAGAAGCACAGCCACCTATTGCGGTATCCCCTTTCTCCTGTTTTTTCAACAATACCCAAGGACAAACCCCGTTAGTCCCTGGTCCTCATCAGTATGTTTGTCTTTTCAGAAATGGGGGATGATGTAGTAAAGGGAGAATAGATCCTGCAGGAGTACAGCCTGGATTCAAAGTCTGGCCCTGCCATTCAGGGTCTGTGTGACCCTAGGCAAGTCTTCCCCTTGCGAAGTGCTTGTGAGGGTTGAACAGTCTAATAGGGACATGCAAAGCCCCTGGGCGAGCATGGTTGGCACATACTAAGTGTCATGTCTGAGGTGGTCATTATTACCACACTTGGTTAGTTTTTTGTGTGCTCTGACTTAAGGAAGCCCCAAGAATGAATGTCTAATGGACTCTGTTGGCCCCATGTTGAAAAAAGGTATTCTAAGTAGACTGAAGCCCTTCGCAAACAGAACCCTTATCTTTTCATCTGTGTTTTCCCAGGCCTGGCATTCAGGGTAGTGATAGTGTTGAATGACAGAAGGAGTTTGCTCATCCAAATTAATGTATTATGGGCATGCCATATTGGATTCTCCCTGGGGATCCGTGACCACTGTAGGTCTTTGCCATCGCATTCTGCCACCCCTAGGTCCCCAGGGTGGATTGGTGCAGGGGGTGAGCCTGCAGGTGGGGGAGGATGCCATAATTTTGGAGACAAGACAGCATGGATGACCTTAGGCACATCTTCCTGTCCAAAGCCCTCTCTTGTCCCAATCAGTCACTAAATTTCCCATTGTGCTGTATTATGCAATCCATTGATTTTTATACTTAACACGTCATATCCCTTTAAGTTAACTTTTTGCTCTGTGAAAGTCAGTAAACCATGCAGAAATAGCTATGTTCAATTCAACCATCTAGATCCCTGACCAGCGTTCACAGAAAAAAAAAATCAACAAACATGAAAATAAGCTCAAGAGTTGTCGTAATGAAATACAATTTTAAACAATGAGATGTTTTTTAACCTATCTGATTAAAACAAACAAACAAACAGTTCAGCTATAACCAATATGAGGAGACAGGCACTTTCGTATACATTTGATGGCAGCACAGATGACGAGACAGACAGTGAAGATCATTTGGATATTACCCCATCAGGATTTAAAATGCACTAACTCTTGCCCCAGCAAGTTCATGTCTTGAATTTATTCCAAAGATATATTTGCAAAAATATGCACAAAAAAGTATGTCAATAATTCTCATTTCAAGGCTGGGCGTGGTGGCTTATGCCTGTAATCCCAGCACTTTGGGAGGCCAAGGCAGGCAGATCATGAGGTCAGGAGTTCAAGACCAGCCTGGCCAATATGGTGAAACCCCGTCTCTGTTAAAAATATAAAAAATGAGCTGGGTGTGGTGGCATGCACCTGTAGTCCCAGCTATTCGGGAGGCTGAGGCAGGAGAATCACTGAACGTGGGAGGTGGAGGTTGCAGTGAGCCGAGATTGCATCACCGCACTCCAGCCTGGGTGACAGAGCAAGACTCTGTTTCAAAAGAAAGAAAAAAAAAAAGAATTCTCATTTGAGGATTGTCAAGAAAATAGCAAAAAGCCGAGGAAATCAGAATGCTTATCAACTGGTACTATTTATTAATGGGATCAATTTTGGTAGATCCAGTTAAAGGAACTATTTAAAAAAATGAGATATGTTTATATGTTCTGATTTTGAAAGACAATTTGAAAGCCCCCTGCTTTTTCTTTCCTGATCATTGCCCTTTTCCTTCGTTTTACATTCTATCTTGATTACGTATTAATTTCTTTTTATTCTAGCTTTGATATCTGATTATTCATGCACAAATTATAGGTTTAATTTTACCCATTTGAACTTTACAGGAAGGAAATAATACAGTATAAGTTCCGTTGTGTTTGGCTGCTTTCATTCACCATTACATCTCTGAAATTTACCTATGCTCTTGTAGGTACAGTCATGTACCACGTGATGAAGTTTCAGTCAACGCCTGACCATGTACATAATGGTAGTCCCATAAGATTATAATACCATACTTTTACTGTACCTTTTATTTAGATATGTTTAGATACACAAATACTTACCATTGTGTTACAACTGCCTACAGTGTTCAGTAGAGTCACATGCCATACAGGTTTGTAGCCTGGGAGCAATGGGCCATACCATATAGCCAAGGTGTGCAATGGGCTATACCATCTCCATCTAGGTTTGTGTAGGTACACGCTATGATGGTCCCACAACAATGAAATCACCTAATGATGATTTCTCATAATATATTCCCATCGTTAAGTGAGACATGACTATACACTATAGTTGGTTTTCTTTCTTTTCTTTTCTTTTTTTTTTTTTTGAGATGGAGCTTTGCTCTTGTCACCCTGGTTGGAGTGCGGTGGTGTGATCTTGGCTCACTGCAACCTCTACCTCCTGGGTTCAAGCAATTCTCCAGCTTCAGCCTCCCGAGTAGCTGGGATTACAGGTGCCCACCACCATGCCCGGCTAATTTTTTTTGTATTTTTAGTAGAGATGAGGTTTCACCACATTGGCCAGGCTGGTCTTGAACTCCTGGCCTCAGGTGATCCATCCGCCTTGGCCTCCCTAAGTGCTGAAATTACAAGTGTGAGCCACCATGCCCAGCCCAGTTAATTTTCATTGCTGTATAGGATTATAGCGACTAAATATATCACAGTTGTCCACTGTACTGTTGATGAGTATTTGTATTGTATTAAGTTTTAGCTAAAACAAATAATGCTGTTTATTAGTTTTCTTGTTCATGTGTCCTGGTGCACAAAAGCATGCGCTTCTGTAGCATATGCATGAGCAGAACTGCTGAATCACAAGGTATTCAGATCTTTTACTTTAGTAGGTGCTGCCACGCCATTTTCAGATGTAATTTTGTAAAAGTCAACACTCCCATAAGTGAAAGAAAGCTGAGAGATCCTATTGCTCACTGACACTCGGGCCCATAAGATTTTTTTTTTTTTTTTGAGACGGAGTTTTGCTCTCGTTGCCCAGGCTGAAGTGCAACGGCACAATCTTGACTCACTGCAACTTCCGCCTCCTGGGTTCAAGCGATTCTCCTCCCTCAGCCTCCTGAGTAGCTGGGACTACAGGAGTGTGCCATGATGCCCGGCTAATTTTGTATTTTTAGTAGAGATGGCGTTTCTCCATGTTGGTCAGGCTGGTCTTGAACTCCCAACCTCAGGTGATCTGCCTGCCTCGGCCTCCCAAGTGCTTAGATTAGAGACATGAGCCACTGTGCCCAGCCAGGCCTGTCAGACTTTTAAAATTCTGCTAATCTAAGTGGTGGTGTTGAAATAGCTCTTTGAAGTTTTAGTTCACATTTCTCTAATTACAAAAGAAATGGAGCATTATTACCTTCATAATTAAAGTGTGTTTTTTTCAGTTAGAGAAACATAAGATGAAGACCAGGACATACACTGTCAGAGAGATTCTTACACATTTCTATTTGTTCATCTGAAATGAGATTTTGCTGGGGTTTTTGTATTTATTTACACATAGCTTCTGGATGGACATGCACCCTTGTAAGTCCTGGCAAGGTACTTAACTCCTGGGGAAATGCACAGATGACAGGGTATAGTTTTGATACAGAAATCTTTGGCTGTTGGTCGAAAAGTGGTAGTGGAAGTTCTCACACGGTCTCAAGACCAGCAGCATCCACATTGCTTGGGAAATCAGCGGGGAAGAAAAAGAATCTCAAGAGTTGCACATGGGCCGGGTACGGTGGCTCACTCTTATAAATCCCAGCACTTTGGAAGGCCGAGGTGGGCGGATCATGAGGTCAAGAGATTGAGACCAGCCTGGCCAACATGGTGAAACCCTGTCTCTACTAAAAATACAAAAATTAGCCAGGCCTGATGGTATGCGCCTGTAGTCCCAGCTACTCCAGAGGCTGAGGCAGGAGGATCGCTTGAATCCGAGAGGCAGAGGTTGCAGTGAGCTGAGATCGCGCCACTGCACTCCAGCCTGGGCGACAGAGCAAGACTCCGTCTCAAAAAAAAAAAAAAAAAGAGTTGCACATGGGGACGGGGCAAGGAGAAGCTATTTGCTTCAGGTGTGGGACAATTCCCTGGAGGTGGGAACGGAGGGAATAGATCCAGCACCTCCATAAAAAAGACTGCTCATGTTGATTGATTTACTTCTGAGAGACTTGAGTTTTCCCAGAAATTAAAACAAAAATAATGAGATGTAAGAGTAGCAGCTTAGGATGAACTGAGAATAGGGTTGGGGATGGATTGATGAGGGGTTAGAGGGGTGCTGTATTCAAGAAAAACAGAGAAAAGAACAACTATCAATAACTATCAATAGGTAGTTTTTTATCCTCACCCTCCTCCCACAGTCCACCCTCAGGAAGGCCCCAGTATCTGTTGTTCCCTGCTTTGTGTCCATGTATAATGTTTAGCTCTCACTTGTAAATGAGAACATGCAGTATTTGGTTTTCCGTTCCTGTGTTAATTTGCTTAGGATAATGACCTCCAGAACAAACGCTGGATCTGGAAAGGCAGCAGCAGGCTTCCTCAGAACAAGTCCTGCTCCGGCCTCGCATACATTTTCCAAGTCAAGGATGTGTTCCCCACCTTATATTCATCCAGCCAAACGTGCACCAGTCTTAGGTAGTTATGTGTCATAGCACTGATGATTGTAGAAGGTTTTCCAGTTTGTTTCTTACTGATATGTCCTACTCGAGAGCAGGGGATTATAAAGAGTTGGCCTCCACACATCCAGATCTAGGCATAAGAAGAACAAAAAACATACGAATGCATTATTACTGCTAACAGGCAACTGCTTTTAAACCAATATAATGGCCAGGTGCGGTGGCTCATGCCTGTAATCCCAGCATTTTGGGAGGCCAAGGCAGTCAGATCACCTAAGGAAGGGAGTTTGAGACCAGCCTGGCCAACGTGGTGAAACCCTCTCTCTACTAAAAATACAAAAATTAGCCAGGCGTGGTGGCGCATGCCTGTAATCCCAGCTACTTGGGAGGCTGAGGCAGGAGAATTGCTTGAACTCAGGAGGTGGATGTTGTGAGCCGAGGTCGTGCCACTGCACTCCAGCCTGGGCAACATAGCGACACTCCATCTCAAAAACAAAAAACGACAACCACAAAAACCCATAATAATGGCTAATTAAGTTTCTTATTTAATTCTCACAACAGCCTTATAATTCAGATTCTGTGATTATTCCCATTTTACAGATGAGGAAACTAACACATAGATTGGTTAAGAAGTTTGCCCAATGACACAGAAGTTACACAGTAGAGTACAAGGTTCAAATTTAGAAAGCCTGACTGAGAGCCAGCAATGAAGATGAAGGGGTTCTGCCTCTCTCATAATTACCTACAGGAATTGCTGGATGTAGGCAAGAAACAAGAGAAATGCTGATCATGACTGAATTCAATTATTCATCTTTTTTAATACCTAAAACTCCTTATGTTGCTCACTTTTAATAGCTATTAATTTTACTACACAAAAGTAAAATATAACCATTGAAAATTTGGCAAATGCAGGAAAGCACACAGAAGAAAACACAATTCACTTCTTGTCCTAACATTCCGAGTGAGTCAATATTAACCCAGGTATATATGTAAACTCACGTAGACATAAACATTAAGATAACTTGATTTTTTTTCATTTGATGTTGTGTGAAATTATTTTTGAAGTCTTATGTTGTTTGGACACTTTGGTAGCTTCTGATTTTTATTATTAAAAATAATACCCCAAAGAACGTGCTTATGATATAAATCTTGTGCACCTGATTTCTCATCTTACAGTATACTTGCCATAACTCTTTTGTTTAATTACTCTAACCACTCTGTGAGTAGCTCTCACACCAACACAACTCAGCTATTCTGGCTAAGCCTAGAAGAACCACTTTAGCGATACAATGGATTATGAGAAATAACCATTGCTTGTTGCTTTAAAGTACTGTGTTTTGGGATAGTTTGTTATACAGCAAAAGCTAGCTGATACATGAAGGAGCATTTTCCTCCTAACACCAGTTTTTGTTTTTTTTTTTCTTTCCAACTTTTGTTTTCAGTTCAAGGGTACATGTGCAGGCGTGTTACATGGGTAAAATGCATGTCTGGGGGTTTTGAGCACAGGTCATTTCATCACCCAGGTAATGAGCATCGCACTCAATAGGTAGTTTTTTATCCTCACCCTCCTCCCACAGTCCACCCTCAGGAAGGCCCCAGTATCTGTTGTTCCCTGCTTTGTGTCCATGTACAATGTTTAGCTCTCACTTGTAAATAAGAACATGCAGTATTTAGTCTTCCGTTCCTGTGTTAATTTGCTTAGGATAATGACCTCCAGCTCCACCCACTTTGCTGCAAAGGACATGATTTTATTATTTTTAAATGGCTGTGTAACATTCCATGGTGTATATGTACCACATTTTCTTTATCCAGTCCACTGGTTTTTGTTTTTGTTTTTTTGAGACTGAGTCTTGCTCTGTCATCCAGCCTGGATGCCCCGCCATCCAGGTTCAAGCGATTCTCATGCCTAAGCCTCCTGAGTAGCTGGGATTACAGGTACACACTGCCAAACCCAGCTCATTTTTGTATTTTTGGTGGAGATGGGGTTTCACCATGTTGGCCAGGTTGGTCATGAACTTCTGACCTCAAGTGATCTGCCCACCTTGGCCTCCCAAAGTGCTCGGATTAGAGGCGTGAATCACCATGCCTGGCCCCAGTCCGCTGTTGATGGGCATCTGGGTTGATTCCATGTCTTTGTTATTGTGGAAAGTGCTACAATGAGAACATAGGCATGCATGTGTCTTTATGGTAGAACAATGTATATTCCTTTGGGTAATATACCCAGTAATAGGATTGCTGGGTCAAATGGTAGTTCTGTTTTAAATTCTTTGAGAAATCTCCCAACTGCTTTCCACAATGGTTGAACTAATTTACACTCCCACAGCAGCAGAGTATAGCATTCCCTTCTCTCCACAGCCTCGCCAGCATCTGTTTGTTTTTTTGTTTGTTTGTTTGTTTTTTGACTTTTTAGTAATAGCCATTCTGACTGGCTAACACCAGTTTTATTTACTCAAGTAAATAAGACCTCCATCCACTTAGCTGGTCATTCCAGAAACTTGGTGTGATAGATTGAAATCTTGTTCAATAAACAGCTCAGTCCTTGTCCCTCATCTTGCAGAACAGCGTGTTTCCCTGACCCACTGAATTTGGGCTTCTCTGTTTGACACATTTGGCCAATGGATCGTGAGCACACATCATGCATGCAGAGGTATAAATGTGCTGTGTGGTTTGGCTTGACTTTTGAATTCCTGCCATTCAGCATGAGAAGGATATGCTGTGAGTCGCTGCTACTCCTAGAATGATAATCAGATCTGAATCCAATTCAGAGACTAGAGCCCAGCCCAACAACCTGTATTCTGAGGCAGAGCCACTTTGGCCAACCATGGACAGATGAAAGAAAAAGTAAATGCTTATTGTTCTCAACCACTCAGTTTTGAGGTGGTTTATTACATAGCATCATGATGGCAAGAGCTGACTGCTGCTGTGACAATAACTGCCTGAATCCTAAAACTCTTAGGAATAGAAATTCTGAGCAGATGGGCCAAGGGTAACCCACTGAGGTACTGGAGTGTTCCAGGCAGAGAAGGAGGAGACTGTTGAGTGACTTGCCTAATTCTCCCTTGTGCAGGTGTTTGAGAATTTGCTTGACTATTTCTCTATTACAGAACATATGGTTTGTTTTCACACCAGAGCATCCAAGGAGATTTAGCAACCTTGGGTGGAGTCTAAACTGGCATTGATATCTAAGAGGTTCAGCATGGGGGAGAGGCAGAGAAAAGGGCTTCTCTAGGGATAATCTTTCAAGTGCAGGGCAAGGCCCTGGTTCCTGGAGCAGCACACCTTGCCAGCATCTGGGGATGGCAGGATGGACTGCAGGTGTCGGGGAGATCAGGTGAACCAAGACTGCAGATTGTTGGGGCTGTTTGAGGCCAGCCTCTGTTTTGCCAGGAAAATTGAAATGCCATGTTGAAGCTCAGTTACCAGAACCATTCAGAGACTGGAAGTGAACCTGTAGCTTTGTGGGCATCCACGAACCATCACTTTCCACGAGCAATAGTAGCACTGAGTTCAGGGCAACTGAAAAAAAATTCAGAGCATTGGAGGCTTCCAATACATTGCCGGCCTCAGATGGAAGTGACTTAGAAACAGGGTGGAACTGAGCTGGTGGGGTCTCAAGACCTGAAGTTGAGTAGACAGCATGAGGCAGGAAGCAACAGGTTGGGAGCAGAGTGCTTACTAGTTCTGTGAATTTGGGCAAGTTACTCAACCTCTCTGTGGCTCGGTTTCTCCACTAGAAGTCAGAGATAATGGTGGTACTTACCTTACAGGTTTGTTAGGAGGATTAAATGAGTTAATATCTGTAAGATTTTAGAGCAGTGCATGTCAGATATAAGAACTTGTTAAATAAAATATATTTTATCCTTTACATGTATCTTAAATGTCAGTTCTTCAGGGAAGCCATCTAAGACACATAATCCCCCAAGAGAAGGCTAGGTTCTCCTTTTAGAGGGTCCCATAATACTCTGTATTTTTCTATTGCATTTATCAAAAATAATTTTTTTTTTTTTTGAGACAGAGTCTCGCTCTGTCCGCCCAGGCTGGAATGCAGTGGCACGATCTCGGCTCACTGTAACCTCCACCTCCCAGGTTCAAGCAATTCTCGTGCCTCAGCTTCCTGAGTAGCTGGGATTACAGACGTGTACCACCATGCCCAGCTAATTTTTGTATTATTAGAAGAGACGGGGTTTCACCATGTTAGCCAGGCTGGTCTCAAACTCCTGACCTCAGGTGATCCACCTACTTTGGCCTCCCCAAGTGCTGGGATTATAGGTGTGAGCTGCCGCACCTGGGCCAAAAATAAAATTAAATATCTGATAATCTCACCCTACTCAATAGATAGAAGATTCATGACATTAGAAGCACTTTTGGCTGGACGCGGTGGCTTGTGCCTGTAATCCCAGCACTTTGGGAGGCCGAGGCAGGCGGATCACAAGGTCAGAAGATCAAGACCATCCTGGCCAACATGGTGAAACCCCATCTCTACTAAAATACAAACAATTAGCCAGGTGTTGTGGTGCATGTCTGTAGTCCCAACTACTCGGGAGGCTGAGGCAGGGGAATCGCTTGAACCTGGGAGGCGGAGATTGCAGTGAGCCAAGATCGTGCCACTGCACTCCAGCCTGGCGACAGAGCAAGACTCCGTCTCAAAAAAAAAAAAGAAGCCACTTTCGTATTGTGTGCCACTGTATTTTAGCACCCAGCACAGTGCTTCATACATAACAGTACTCAATACATATTGTTGCATGGATGAATTAATGAAGACTGTGTCTTCTTCTCAATGCTCAGCATACAGCACAGTTTGACTTAAAGGAAGTGCTCCTTAAATGATGGCTAGATTGAGCTTAAATATTACTCTCAAGAGATAGTCCTAAACTGAAACTATAGAGTTGGATATTATCGTGATACAGGTATTAGTTACAGCCATGGGGACTGATGCAAGTATCCTACTAAAAATATCAACAAGGGTGTGGCACAGACCCTCGGCGATCAGAGTAGACTTGCCCTGCCAAGTGCTATTCCCTTAGTTACTGGAACATGGGAAGGTCCAGGGAGCGTAGACCTATGGTTGGGCTGCAGGTGGAAGGTATTTGGTTGGCTCAGAGTAGAGGTTTTTTCACACCAGATGCAGAAAGACTGCATTATGTTAACAACCAGTGTGGCTTCACAGGAGCAGAGGACCTGGATGCTAGCCCTGAGCCCTGAAGAGCACATGGGGTAAGAAGCAAAGTCTGACAAGGATGGAAACCTTGGGGACACCTGTGTCTAAGAGATGAGCCACAGCAGAAATTCCTACAAAGGAAACTGAGAACAACTGAGCAATGGAAGGCAAACCAGGAATATTGTCCTAACGTCCAAGAAAACTTCCAGAAAAGACAGTTTAGTGTCAGATGCTGCAATGACCTCAGATAGATGGAAGATCAAAAGCCATCCATTAAGGACATCACTACAAAACTGGTGGCAGTTCCTGGAACGATGTCACGGAAAGCTGAGGGCCTTCCAGGATATCGATTTACTGGAATGAGGAGTAAACGAGAAATGAAGAGGTGTATGCAGGTGCAGAGATCATTCTTTTCTCAGGAAAGACAAGGTTACTTGTCGTGGTTAGAGACAGCTGCCAGTGTCAAGAGAATATTTCAGCTACTTATTAATTTACATACTTCTTTATAAAAAGACACCCAAGTATATTTAAAAGATATGACAGGCCATCAGGAAAGGCGCCATTGAAATATTGGAGTAGGAATAATTAATGTTTGAATAATAAATTAGTTGTCATTTGCTATCTATAGGGAATGTAGGGCCAGAAAAAGGAATATACTGACTCTCCAACTCTGCCTGTATAATACACAAAACTGATCACAGTTATTAGATCCTGAAAGGAGGTGAACTCCTTGAGCCATTTTCTTAGAGTGCAATATAATAAAACAAGGAATAATCAACTAAACAGAATAAAATGCGCCAAAGGCATGAGCGTTATAAAATAATGCCTACGTCCAAAGGGAACATGAGAATGAAAAAAACAAAGCAAGCAAACAAACAAACAAACAAACAACAAAAACAACAAGCTTAAGAGGGACCATCAGATAGAGGCTTGGAGGAAACTATATTGTTCTAGATATTTTTATATGCATAATCAAGTATCTGAAGCATTATGAAAGAAGTCTGCTTGGGAACTTTAAAAGTGAACAAATAACTGGCCAAAAGAAGGAAGGAAAAGAGAGAGAAAATAAAATCCAAAACAGAAAAAATTGGAAAAAACACAACTACTGAGACAATAAAGACAATAGATTTAAAATATTATATTAATTTGATATACCATACATCAGAAATAACAAAACATATGGTATAAGAACCAAATATTTTTAAATTAAATTAAATATATTTATTTTAAGAAGTAGAGTCTAGGCACAGTAGCTCACACCTGTAATCTCAGTGCTTTGGGAGGCCGAGATGGGAGGATTACTTGAGCTCAGGAGTTCAAGACCACCCTGGGCAACATAGCGAGACCACATCTCATAAAAAAAAAAAGTAGAGATGGGGGTCTTGCTATGTTGCTGAGGCTGGTCTTGAACTCCTGGCTTCAAACAATCCACTTGCCTCAGCCTCCCAAAGTGCTGAGATTACAGGCATGAGCCACCACACCAGGCCAAGAATCTAATATTTTATTAAATGTTTTCCATTTTTACAAGGAGCCCCATAAATTGTTTATTGCATGTGCTGCTGGAATGGTACTGGATGTTCATGTAGGAAAATTGAGCATAATTACCACAGCATTGTATGTGACAAAGTTAGGTTTCACTCTCTATAGCTATTTTAAAAATGAAATCTGAATTACCCTTAGTGAAAGTTCCAAATTTTCTCTTCCCCAAAAATCCATATCCTTGTCATACTGTCCAATTTCATTAAAATAATGCCGACGTATAGCAAAAATTCCTCCAGACATTGCAGGTGACCTAGAAAGGGGACATAAATATGAAATTAATTTCACAGAGAAAGTCATTCTGTAGTTTCCTCAAAATTATATTAAATTAGTAATAACTTATAGTTTAAAATGAGAAAACAGGCCGGGTGTGGAGGCTCATGCCTGTAATCCCAGCACTTTGGGAGGCCGAGGCGGGTGCATTACGAGTTCAGGAGATCGAGACCATCCTGGCTAACACAGTGAAACCCCGTCTCTACTAAAAATACAAAAAATTAGCCAGGCAAGGTGGCATGCGCCTGTAGTCCCAGCTACTCGGGAGGCTGAGGCAGGAGAATCGCTTGTACCTGGGAGGCAGAGGTTGCAGTGAGCTGAGATCGTGCCACAGCACTCCAGCCTGGGACGACAGAGCCAGACTCTGTCTCAAAAAAAAAAAAAAAAAAAAAAGAGAAAACATTAATACTAAAATTATCCTATTATACATTTAAGTATATAAAATTACTAAAAACCACAACAAAAGTAGGCAATAACTTTTACTTAGTTCTCACCAAAATGTGTATGCGATATATTCTAAATGTTTTCCTAATGAGAAGGAAAATGATATTTGGAATGTAAGTTTCCCATGAGGATGACAATTGAACTGGGTAGCAGGGCTCAGAGCTCTCCCTTTCTAAAGACATTAGGTGAATTGTAATATTTACTTCTGGACAAACCATAATATTAAGAAGCATCTTGTTTTGTCCACCAATAGTAGGGCCAAATAATACCAAACTAAGTAGTTTGAAAATAGTCACAGCTGGGTGTGGTGGCTCACACCTGTAATCCCAACACTTGGGAGGCTGAGGCTGGTGGATCATTTGAGGTCAGGAGTTCAAGACCAGCCTGGCCAACATGGTGAAACCCCATCTCTACGAAAAATACAAAAATTAGCCAGATGCAGTTGCCCGCGCCTGTAATCCCAGCTACCCAGGACACTGTGGCATGAGAATCGCTTGAACCTGGGAGGCTGCAGTGAGCTGAGATCGCACCACTGCACTCCAGCCTGGGCAACAGAGTGAGAATCTGTCCCGCCCCCCCCAAAAAAAAGAAAAAGAAAAATAATCACAAGTTTACATTCATTTGTTCAAATAAGTATTTATTGAGCACCTATGTTTTAGGGATATGAGTCACTCAACACACAAACCAAGACCCATGTGTAGGGGAAAGGGTAGGGAAGCCAATTAGAGGGGCTGCAGAGAAAAATAATGGGATCCGGGATAAGAATGCAGCAATGTAGGTAGTAAGATGCGGTTGAATTCCTGGCATATTTTGGAGATGGAGCTAACAGATTTGCTTATGGGTCGGGTGTGGGGTGCCTACTGCACCAGATGTGACACACATTGCCGAGTGCACCAGATAGGAACATTCCTATCAGAATCCAGTCATGCTGTTATCTCTGCCAATTACAAAATTAAAACCGCCTTATTTTGACCCCACTTCCTGTCAGTTATGTCCCCTTTTCTCTCTTTCGTATTAAAGCCTTAGAAAGATTTGTCCATCACTATCTCTAATTCCCTTAAACTCCCTTCCATCAGGCTTCGCCTCCCGCCATTCACAATTAAGACTTGTTCATGACCTTCTCATGGTTTAGTCCAATGCTCATTTCCAGTCCTTCTCTCGCTGATCCAGCCACTGTGTTGGATGCTGCTGGCCACACCCTTCTCTTGGACACACATGCCTCCCTGGGCCTCCAGGGAACCAGATTTCCTGGTCCTTCTCCTCCCTCCCTGGTTGCTCCTTCCCATCTCCTTTGCCAGTTCCTCTCCTCCTCTCAACTGTCAATGTTGAAGCACCCAGGGCTCAGGGCTGGTCCTCTACACTTCTCCACTCACCCACATAGTGATTCTCATCCATCCTATCCATGACTCCCAAAGGATGCCTCCAGCCCTGACCTCTCTCAAAACTCCAGACTCATGATTGAATCCATATAGGATTGTGTTCAGTACCAGAGAATCAAAGAGTTATAGATGATATGAAGATAAATGTCATATCATGTTATAGATTGAGTCCTAAGTAATTCTATTGACAATAATTCTATTACTGTATTAAAGACTTCTAGAAGCAAGTAACAGAACAATTTGATTAAGCCTAAGAACTTGAAAGAATAATCTCTGGAGGCTTTTTCCCCCTGGGTCTCAATATACATATTCTATATTTTTCCAAAACCAGAAGAAATCTCACCAGATTGGTTTAGTAGGTCCTTCTGGCCCATCCATCTCATAAGGGACTCATGTATCCAACTGCATCCAACTACCTACTTCACATCCCCACTTGAATGCCAAATAGACATCTCAAATATGCCCCAAAGAGAATCTTCCTGCCAAAAACCTGCTCCACTCATGGTATTTCTCATCTCAGGGCACTGCAGTTCCGTCCATTTGGTGTGCAGGCCGAAAACGTTGGAGTCAGCTGTGGTCTGAGACAGCAGGGAGAAAGTGAAAGGGCCTTGCTCTGCCCTTAGAAAAGGGCAGGTGGCTGGGGGAAAAGGGCATGATCCTTGGTCATGGTGATGCCTGCATGTCAGGGAGCTGGGGAGGTCTTGAGTTATCATTGGCTTAAGCCCTAGGCATGATTTTGCTTTTTGTGTGTGTGTGTGTTAAGTTTTCCAAAACTCATTGCACCTAGCTTTTTTGGTCGTCATTAGAACTAAGGGAAAAATGTATCTTCAGATATGAATGCTAATTAATACCATGACTAATATGTAACAGATGCTGGCGAGGATGAGGAGAAAAGGGAACGCTTGCACAGTGTTGGTAGGAATGTAAATTAGTACAACCGCTGTGGAAAACAATACAGAGATTTCTCAACGAACTAAAAGTAGAACTACCATTGAATCCAGCATTCTCACTATTGGGTATCTTCCTAAAGGGAAAGAAATCATCTGTGTCAAAAAGATACCTGCCATTGTATGTTTATCACAGCACTATTCACAACTGTAAAGTCATGGGATCAACTAAAGTGTCCCTCAGTGGAAGACTGGATAAAGAAAATGTGGTATATATACACAATGGAATACTATTCAGCCATAAAAAAGAATAAAATGATGTCTTTGGCTGCAACATGGATGGAACTGGAGGCCATTATCTTAAGTGAAACAATCCAGAAGCAGAAAGAGAAATACACATGTTCTCATTTATAAGTGGGAACTAAATAATGTATACACATGGACATAGAGTGTGGACTGACAGGCATTGGAGACAGAAGGGTGGTGACAGGAGGGCAATGGATGATGAGAAGTGACTTAATGGGTCCGGTGTACATTGTTTGAGTGGTGGATACTTGGAAAGTCCAGACTTTACCACTAGGCAATATAGCCATATAACAAAATTGCACTTGTACCCCTTATATTTATACAAATAATAATAAATCAATAAAATAACAAAATAAAATTTATTTTTTCTTTTAACCTTTAAAAAATAACTTATGTTTTCTTATACATATTATATATTTTAATGTAACATACAATTATAATATATGTAATATGTATAATATATATTACATATAATAGGTACATATTTAATCACACAAAGGTATACTGACAGAACATTTTTTATGGTTTGATTTTTTAATTTAACACATGAGAAGTTTTCTTTCTAGTTAATTAGCCCTTGAAAACTTAACTTTAATGATTATGTGATAGTCCATAAAAATGAATATACTTTATTTTTTACCCATTTCAATAGTATTGAATATGTTGTTTTCAGTTTTTTATGAATATAAATATTGACACACTATATATATCTCCGTGCTTATTTCTGACTCTCTTCAAATAAATTCAAGTAAGTGGATTACTGCATCAAAGAATAAGGATATTTATAAGATTCTTAATTTGCATTGCCAAATTGTTTTCAAAAAGAATGATCCAATGTATATACACACGAGCAGTGTATTAGAATTCTAAACATTTTACCATTTAGCAAATAAATATTAGGAATACAGTTTCCCTGTTGAATATCAGTTATTTTTACATTAGAGCCTAAAAATGTTTTATATGTGAGATATGGAAATATTACAAAAATTATAAACCAAGTTTGTGTAATTGGAACACCATAGCTATTTCTTACTAAAAGTAACTATTTAAAATAGTTTTGAGATAACTCAAAAGATTAATGCTGTTTATTTTTATTAAGTTGAGATTTCTACATATTACATTTTATTACAATAAAGTACACTTTTGTTCCTCTTTGTTCCAAAGTCTGTGACATTACTGTAGCTAATGTTGATATTGATCAGATCACTTCCTCTGTGTCAAGCCTTATGCTATGTGTTTTACATGTATTGGCTCATTTAATCCCCTCAACGATCCTAAGAAATGTGTTAATTATTACTATCACTGTTTAACAGATGAGGACGACATTGAAGTTGAGAGAGGTAATTGTGCCAACTGAGGGCCATCTTAATGTACAATTCCAGACATGCCATTGACCTTGTGGTCTTTGTGTGAACAGTATCTCCTGGAGATGTGCAGTGCACAGCTGGTGCAACTGTACATGGCAGCCCTAAACTGCTAACAAATGATGGAGTCTCTCCTTCAAACCAGATCTGTTTGACTTGAGCTTTTAGTCAAATGAAATATTGCTCCTGAAAGTCATGATTGAATCCATATAGGATTGTGTTCAGTACCAGAGAATCAAAGAGTTATAGATGATATGAAGATAAATATCATATCACGTTATATATTGAGTCCTAAGTGATTCTATTAACAATAATTCTATTACTGTATTAAAGACTTCTAGAAACAAGTAACATAACATTTTGATTAAGCCCAAGAACTTGAAAGAATAATCTCTGGAGGCTTTTTCCCCCTGGGTCTCAATACACGTATGCTATATTTTTCCAAAACCAGAAGAAATCTCACCGGATTGGTTTAGTAGATCCTTCTGGTCCATCCATCTCATAAGAGAAAACATTATCCCATTTAAATTGTAGGTTCCAATCAAAAGTTCCCCTTACAAGAGGAGAGGGCTTATACTCCAGAGTTCTATCATCAATGACATCTATCAGGGGGCACACCACCATTTTGGGGTCCTTGGCAATGGCATGCAGCAGGGGCTCCAGCCATACTCTGTTCACCTCACAGTGGCTGTCCAGGAACACCAGAACATCCCCTGGGGAGGCAAGAACAGGGCAATGTTAGTCCACATAGCTGAAAAAATACGGCAATCCAAATCAAAGTTCAATGTGATGAATATTTCTTGAGCATTTACTATGTGTTTGGCTCTTACAGTGCTTTCATTTTCATTGGAAGGAAACAAGAAATACATTATTATGTACAAAAATATGCAACATCATGTGCCATAGATGTTGAGGGGAAGCCAGTAATTGTGGGTTAGAGAGTGGTTTTGGGGAGAATTCTAAAGGAGCAGGTGGAACTGAACTGGATTTCCATTTTAAAAAATGATTTTAGCTTGGTCTTGACTGATCAGCTTAAATTTAGCAAATTTTTACTGAAAGGACACCTTCTTAGGCATTGAGTTTGGTGCATGGGATGCAGACATGCATCACGACTTTTGCTCTTGAGTTCAAGTTTTTTTTTTTTTCTGAGATGGAGTCTTGTTCTATCACCCAGGCTGGAGTGCAGTGGCATGATATTGGCTCACTGCAACATCCGCCTCCCGGGTTCAAGCAATTCTCCTGCCTCAGCCTCCCAAGTAGCTGGGATTACAGGTGCCTGCCAACATGCCAGGCTAATTTTTGTATTTTTAGTAGAGACGGGGTTTCACCGTGTTGGCCAGGCTGGTCTCGAGCTCCTGACCTCAGGTGATCCGCCCACCTCAGCCTTTGAGTTCAAGCTTCAGTGGGGACCTATTCTGCTTAGAGGACATGGGAATAATTGGCATGGTTAAAGTAGAGAAAGTGTATTATTGAAGTACACCAGGGGCTTGATGTAGAAGGAACCCCAAACTTCAAGTAGCAGAGTTTAGACTTTTTCTTGTAGCCAGTGTAAAATCATTAGAAAGGTATAAAAAAATCTCATGTTTTGATCAGAAGACTTAATATGGCAATAACCCCCATACTAATCTACAGATTTAGTGCAATCCCTATTGCAATCCCAGCTGGCTCTTTTTAAAGAAATTGATCCTAAAAGTCATATGAAAAGGCAATGGACCTAGATTAGCCAAAATAATTTTGAAAAAGAAAAATAAGGTTGAAGGGCTTTCTGATTTCAAGGGTTACTACAAAGTGATAATAATCAAAACAGTGTGCCATTGGTGTAAGGATAGACACAGAAACCAGAAATAAACCATGTGTCTATGGTCAATTGATTTTTGACAAGGGCCAAGACAATTCAATGGAGAAAGTATAGTCTTTTCAATAAATTGTGCTGAGGCAACGGAATATCCACATGCAAAAGAATGAAGTTAGACCCCTACCTCATATCATACTAAAAATCAAATCAAATGGGTCATAGACCTAAGGTAAGAGCTAAAATTATAAAACTCAGAAGGAAACATAAGCATATATTTATGACCTTAGGTGAGGCAATGGTTTCTTAGATATGACACCAAAAATACAGGGGACATAAGAAAAAACATATACGTTGGAATTCATCAAAAGCAAAAACTTTTGTGCTTAAAAGACACAATCGAGAAAATGAAAAAAAAAAAATGGCTGGTGCGGTGGCTTATGCCTGTAATCCCAGCACTTTGGGAGGCTGAGGGGGGTGGATCACCTGAGGTCAGGAGTTCAAGACCAGCCTGGCCAACATAGCGAAACCCCGTCTCTATTAAAAATACAAAAAAAAAAAATTAGCCAGGTGTGGTGGTGGGTGCCTGTAATCCCAGCTACTTAGGAGGCTGAGGCAGGAGAATCACTTGACCCCAGGAGGCGGAGGTTGCAGTGAGCCAAGATCGTGCCACTGCACTCCAGCCTGGGTGACAGAGCAAGACTCTGTCAAAAAAAAAAAAAAGAAAGAAAAAAAAGAAAAGAAAAGAAAAAGAAACAAAGAAAGAGAAAAAAATCCACAAAATGGGGGAAAGTATTTCCAAATCATACATATACTAAAGGACTTGTATGAGAATATATAAATAATTCTTACAAGTTAGTAATAAAAAGACAACCTGATTTAAAATGCGCAAGAGATTTGAATAGACATCTTTGCAAAGACGTATAAATGGCTGATGAGCATGTGAAAAGATGTTCAACACCATTAGTCATCAGAAAAACGTTAATAAAAATCACAGTGAGGTATCCCTTTACATCCACTAGGACGGCAAGAATGAAAAAGACAGACAATAGCAAGTGTTGGGGAGGTGGTGGAGAAATTGAAACACTTGTCCAGTGCTGTTGGGAATGATGGGTGGGAGGGGAGGAGTACAGAGAACAGGAAAGTTCTCTCTTGCCTGAAGGGCACTCTCTGGGCTGAGTTCTCTGAGGGTGTGTGGCTGGCAATAGCAACTTTGAGGACCTCCCTTCTCATCCCTGGTGGTCTCTGGTCAGCAGTTCCCACAAACTGGGCAAGTGCATTCTATTCTGGTGACTCAATCTGTCTTCTCAGCTCCTTAAGATCCTGTGTTCTGTCTCCAGCTTCTCTGCTGAGGCCTGTCCATTCTTCTAGATAGTCCTACCGGACACCATCTAAGATGATCCCTATAGCTCTCTCTCCAACACTGCCAAAGCAAACTCTGCCATAAATACAGCTACTAATCTAAAAGCAAGTGTCCTTTGTTCTACAGCTGGTCACAGTCTTTTTATCCTTTTGATTTTCGGCAGAAAACTAACATTAGTTCACTTCTCCTCAATCCCAATATATTTCCAATTTTATTGTATTGATGTCTGAGAATGTGCTGAATTCATATCAAGTCTCTCTCACCAGGCTTTGAGCAGTAGCTTTCTCCAAAAATCTCCTTTAATCTCTAACAACATGACTCAATCTGGCTGAGCCATCTCATTGGTTCTCAGATCTCTATTTTGAAATATCTTTATCGTGGTCAGTCTAACAACTCACTTTGGAATATTACAGCTATGATTTTCATGCCTCAACCAAAACTGAGCTAACAAGAGTCCCATTTTTAACACATATGTTTTCATACTATTGGCAGCACACACACAGCTTTATACTTCACATTTTTCACCTAAAATAGCTTCTATAATATTACGTAACATTATTAGCATTTTAAAATCATGTCTGCTCATTTGATAGGTGAAAAATAACATCTGGTTCTCCTAAGAAGATGTACGAATGGCTAGCAAGCACACAAACAGATGCGAAACATCATGTCATTAGGAAAACACAAATCAAAACCAACGTGAAGAACCACTTCACTTCCACTAGGATGACGAGAACTTAAAAAATGAAAAATAAGTTTTGGCAGGGATATGGAGAAATTTGAACTCTTACACATTGCTGGTGGGAGTGTAAATGGTGCAGCCACTGAAGAAAAGAGCTTGGCAGCTCCTCAAAAAATTAAACCTGGAATTACCATAAGACCCAGCAATTCTATTCCTAGGAACATGCCCAAAAGAATTCAAACAAATGTATATATGTGCATGGTCACAGCAGTACTGTTGACAACAGCCAAAAGAGGGAAACAGCCCAAATGCCCATCAATGGATGAATGGAGAAACAAACTGTGGTGTATCACAGAATGGAATATTATTCAACCATAAAAAAGGAAGCACTGACACATCCACCATGTGGATGAACCTCAAAAATATACTAAGTGAAAGAAGCCCGACACAAAAAGTTACATATTGTATGATTCCGTTGATATGAAATATCTAGAAAGAGACAGAACACAGATAGGTGGTTGCCAGAGACTGGAGGGAAGGAAGCTGCTTAATGGCTAAAAGACTTTCTTTTCAGGTAATGAAAATGTTTTGGAGTTAGAGGTCATGGCTGTACAACATTGTGAAGGTGCGAAATGCTACTTAATTGTTCATTTTTAAATGATCAGTTTTATGTTAATCGTGCCTCAATTTTAAAAAATCTGGTTAATTTTTTTTTAATCGCTGGTGAGGTTGAATTTTCCACATGATTAGCCATTTGTAAATGAAATTGTCGTGTACTTTGCCTATCGGAGTAGTTTTGTTTTTTGTTTTTTTTTTTTTAGATAGAGTCTCGCTCTGTCACCCAGGCTGGAGTGCAGTAGCATGATCTCAGCTCACTGCAACATTCACCTCCTGGCTTCAAGCAATTGTCCTGCTTCAGCCTCCCAAGTAGCTGGGATTACAGGCACCTGCCAACATGTCCAGCTAATTTTTGTATTTTTAGTGGAGATGGGGTTTCACCGTGTTGGCCAGGCTGGTCTCAAACTTCTGACTTCAAATGATCTACCTGCCTCAGCCTTCCAAAGTGCTGGGATTATGGGCGTGAGCCACCATGCCCAGCTTGGAGTTGTATTTTTAATGGATTTTAAATGTACATTTTACATACTAAAAATATTAACTTTTAGTCCTGTTACATTTCCCCAGCCTACTGTTATTTAATTTTATTATTTTTTATTTGCAGCAATTTTACATTTTTTTGTTAAAAAAATAGACTTTTTTTTAGCACCTTTTCCATTGGTTTTAAGCTTTGAAATTTCTTTATTCATAAAACAGGCAAGTATTAATCTATGTTTTTATATTTTTAAATTATCCCTTAAGAAGTTTGATGATGATGATGTTTTTACAGAGACAGTCTCACTCTGTTGCCCAGGCTGGAGTGGAGTGGTGCTATTATAGCTCACTATAACCTCCAACTCCTGGACTCAAGCGATCCTCTTGCCTCAGCCTCCTGAGTAGCTTAGGACTACAGGTGTGCACCAACACACTCGCCTACTTTTTTTAATAAAAATTTTTGTAGAGATGGTGTCTCACTGTGTTGTCAGGCTGGTCTTAGAACTCCTGGCCTCAAGCAATCCTCTTGCCTTGGCCTCCTAAAGCGCTAGGATTACAAGCATGAGCCACCACACCTGGCTATGGTTTGATTTTTTAAAATAAAATTAACATTAATCCAGTTATAATTTATTTGGGTTATGGTATGAAATAAAGACCTAAAATTTTCCCAAATGGCTAATTGTTTAAGTGGCATTAAACAACAACTGCAACAAAAACATTTTAAAAGTCTTTTTTCCCATACAGATTTGTGGTATCTCTTTACTGTATACAGTGTACACTTGTACCCTTAATATTGAAAGATTTAAATATTTGCAACTTTGAGGATTCTAATGACCCAGAAAGACCATAAATGCAATATTAAAAATTGCAAAATAATTTAAAATTATACTTTATGCAAAATTAATATGGGGTATTACTGAATTTTGATTTAAGTTAAAAACGTGGGAACAGGCCACCTAGCACCTACATTTCAATGAGGTTTTATTTTCACTCATCATAAAATATTTAACAGGGGAAATTTACATCCTGTAAGGAGAGCAAAGTAGTAGTGAGGGTCCCTCTTCAGCTGATTTCTCTCCTTCACAGGAATATTTTGTGGAAACCTAAAGTTTGGTGCTAGGAAAGGACGGTTGCTCTACTTCTGCTGCCTTCGAGAGTTTCGGGAAGGACCGTGCTATTTATTGGTTTTAGAGATGGCCTATCATTCATGTGCTAGATGACCTATCAGACATTCATCAGATTCTCTTTAGTGCTTGTGATGAGTAAAGGGCGTGAGGTCAAGCCTGCCTGATAGAGGAATTCTTCCCCTACTTGCTTCCAAAGAGTATTTGTGGAAATATTCTAAACAATTCCATTGCTCCCTAAAGTTTGGAGTTGGGAGCTACGTCCTCCATCTTACCCTGTGTAGAAGCTTATTTTCTGCTCTCCTGTCGTAGTCTATTTGCACCATTTCTCTAGGGATTGTGGATTGCAACGTTTGTTAACTTGTTTTTTGAAAAGCAACAAATAGCGTATGTATCAATTTCACAGTATTTCCTGTTTTTCTCTGTTTTGTATTTATTTTCGTTCTTTGGTTAGTGTCCACATTTTCACCCTTAAACGTAACTCATTATATATAATTTATTTTACATCACATTAAAATTCTCAGTTTGGTCTCTACAACCAAGCATTTTTAAAATCTTAAAAATATTTTTTCTTTTTTTTTTACCTACACGTTATGTTATTGCTGTATCTTGTTTTAATTTGTTTTGTGAGATGAGGTTGTGATGTGTTGCTCTGTCTAGAGCACAGTGGCATAGTCATAGCTCACTGTAACCTTGAGCTCCTGGGCTCGAGCGATCCTCCTGCCTCGCCCTCCCAAATAAATAGGATTACAGGCACGGGCCACCACGCCTAGCTTATTTTTATTTGTTCATTTATTTCTGTAGAAATGAGGTCTTCTCATGTTTCCCAGGCTGGTCTCAAACTCCTGGCCTCAAGCAATCCTCCCGCCTCAGCCTCCCAAAGCACTGGGATTACAGGCGTGAGCCACGGCACCCAGCCTGTTATTGCTGTATCTTTCCAATTTTTTGGTATTGATGTTCAAGAATGTGGTGTGCAAGGGGAACATCACACTCTGGGGACTGTTGTGGGGTGGGGGGAGTGGGGAGGGATAGCATTAGGAGACATACCTAATGCTAAATGATGAGTTAATGGGTGCAGCACACCAGCATGGCACATGTATACATATGTAACTAACCTGCACATTGTGCACATGTACCCTAAAACTTAAAGTATAATAATAATAAAATAAAATTAAAAAAAAAGAATGTGGTGTGCAAAATCTGTGTCAGGGTATTTACAGAGAATCTGTGCTTAAGCGTATGACCAGTTTTTGTAAAATACATAAGCATTTCTATTTAACTCACTATAAATCTGTTAAACCTAGCCATCTGGATTTTGTAAAAAGAAATCGAAGCAACTATACTATTAAATATCCCAAATTTTGTTTGTAAGCTACATCCTCATAATCTGGTGGTGGGATGATGCTGTCTACTGAGATGGCATCAGAATTCCTGGGTTTGAGCCTGGAGTAACGTGACCTAGAGCCAGTCTCTAATCTTTCGGGAGCTTAGCTTCTTTAACTGGGATAAAAGGCTGATGAGTTCTAAAACCTCTGAGAGCCTTTCCACCATTAATATTTTGTATTTTATTATTTTTACCCTGTATTTCTTTTACTTTTATGTATTTCATCATTTTGAAGGATAAAATTCAATGTTTATGTTTTAATTATTTATTTGTCCTAATTGCTGTATAATAAGCATTTATTTAGTACATAATGCCAAAAAAAATGTAGGTGATGTCCTTATCTGATCATTGTAACAGCCATGTTAGTTCGATAGCATCATTCCCATATTTGGATTATCAGGCTGAGGCTCAGAAGAGTGACTTGTCTAATTCTCCCTGGAAGACACTGTTTCCCTGCAATGTTGCTGATAGAAGAAAAAAAAACTCCTTCTCTCAAACTGCATGAACCCCACATCCAGAAGCAACACTAGCATTTCATCACTATCCATGGTTTAATCATCACCCATGTTTGCCTCCAAATCATGACACTTCCGCTCCCATGCAAAAAAAAAAAAAAAAAAAAAAAAAAAAAAAAAAAAAAAAAATTCATACCAACTGATCGTAGATTTCTTTAGATTCAAGCCATCTGATTGCAACATTCTCTTTCTTCTTCACTTTGCAAAACCCCTGCCTTCTCCTCCTCTGCGGGGTTATCCATCTGCCTGCATCTCAGGCGGTTTCCTTCATGCCCTGCAGGTACGGCACAGCATTCACCGCAGGCTGCCCACCTCAGCTCCTGCAACCTGTGGGAGACTTCAACAGCCACGTGGACAGCACCACCGGCCCAGAGAAATGGACAGATAGTGATGAGAATTATGAAGAGAAAGAAATGGGGGAGGCCGGGCGCGGTGGCTCACGCCTGTAATCCCAGCACTTTGGGAGGCCGAGGCGGGCGGATCACGAGGTCAGGAGATCGAGACCATCCTGGCTAACACGGTGAAACCCCGTCTCTACTAAAAAATACAAAAAATTAGCCGGGCGTGGTGGTAGGCACCTGTAGTCCCAGCTGCTCGGGAGCTGAGGCAGGAGAATGGTGTGAACCCGGGAGGCGGAGCTTGCAGTGAGCCGAGATCGCGCCACTGCACTCCAGCCTGGGGGACAGAACGAGACTCTGTCAAAAAAAAAAAAAAATTGGGGGTAAGGGTGATGATAGAGAGGGATAGGAGTCTGCTATTTAATATGGGGTGGTTTGAAAGACTATGGTGATAAAGTGGCATTTGATCAGAGAACTGAACAAAGTAAGATAACAGGTCATGCAGATGCCTGAGAGAAGAACGTTCCAGGGGAAGCCAATCACGGGCAGAGGCTCTGAGACGGGATGAGGCTTGGCAGGCTGGGAGAGAAGCAGGAAGGCCCGTGCAGCTGGTGGGTGGGTGAGGGAGGAAGGAAGGGAAAGGTCAGGGAAAGCAGGGAGCACATCACGGCAGGCCCTACTGGAGAGACAGCGTCGCTTTGTAATAATGCAAATAGCTCCCAGGAAGATGACCTGGCTCCAAAGGAGTGTGCGCACATGAACATCACGTGAAAACCCGTCTCCAGGCTCAGTAGGTACAGTTTGCATCTCAATAGAGTTGATAAAAAAGAAAAAAAGAAAAGAATAAATGTGCATGGGTAGCACACAGTCGGCAAGAGATAAGTTAAGGAAGGGCCGCTGGCTGCTGCCTCACCTGCCCACACAACAGGATCCCATACTTGTGACTCAGGAGCACGCCTGGCTCAGGCAGCCACCTACATCACTTGGGGGTGTAGGGAACAGACAGGCTGAGAGATGGCAAGTGCTGGCAAAGGGCCAGGAGAAGTAGGTGCACACATCCACAGTCATAGCTGAAGGTTTCAGTACAACTCTAAGAAACTTAGAAATGAAGTCGAATTCCATCATCAAAGATATGAACAAAATTATACATATATACACACACACAGAACCTACAACCATAAAGAAAAAATATACATTCTTTGAAAATACACATAGAAGAGCCATGTGTGGTGGCTCATGCCTGTAATCCCAGCACTTTGAGAGGTTAAGATGGGAGAATATTGCTTGAGACCAGGAGTTTGAGACCAGCCTGGGCAGGACAGTGAGACCACATCTCTACCAAAAATTAAAAAAATAGGCCAGGTGTGGTGACTCCTGCTTGCAATTCCAACATTTGAGAGGCTAAGGTGGGAGGATCACTTGACCCCAGGAGTTCGAGGCTGCAGTGAGCTTCGATACTCCACTGCACTCCAGCGTGGGTGACAGAGAGAGATCCTGTCTCAGAAAGAAAAAAAGTATAAAATACACATAGACATTGTGAAAAACTGACCTAGCTTAAGCCACAACAGAAATTTCAAATTTCTGACCACAATACAGTTTAGTAATAAATAATTAACAAATAATTTTTAAAATCTCTGAAAATCGTTTGGAAACTTTCAAAATCACTCCTAAAAAAAAGAAGACAATGTGGATTAAAGAGGAAATCAAAAAAGACACCAGTGCCTGTGCAGTTTATTGGCCAGTTCTCTGCAAGTTCCCACACACAGTCAATCTCTGTCTTATGTAAATTTTTAGAAAAAAAGAAAAACCATACAATTTGTTCTATGAGTCTGGTAAAGTGAAAAGTATAAGAACACAGTACAAACAAAGAAAATCATAAACGCATCTTCCTTTTTTTTTTTTTTTTGAGACATGGTCTCACTCTGTTGCCCAGGCTGGAGTGCAATGGCATGATCTTGGCTCACTGCAGCCTCCACCTCCTGGGTTCAAGCAATTCTCCTGCCTCAGCCTCCTGAGTAGCTATGGATGCATGTGCCACCATACCTGGCTAGTTTTTGTATTTTTAGTGGAGATGGGGGTTCTCCCTGTTGGTCAGACCAGTCTCGAACTCCCGACCTCAGGTGATCCGCCCGCCTCGGCCTCTCAAAGTGCGGGGATTCTAGGCATGAGCCATCGTGTCCAGTCCGCATCTTACTTTTGAACACAGATGCGATGCGTGTGCGTGGGGTGAGAAGGGGCGGAGAGCACGTGTGTGAAGTGGGTGTTGTGAGATATTTACATCTACACCTAGTGACTCTAGGGGAGCATTTCTATGGGTATTATGTGGGTTTGAAAATTTTCAAAATAAAAAAAATAAGACTCCCCTTTTAAACAAAAACAATCCAGACCGTAGTGCTACGGGTTGAACTGTGTTCCCCAAAACGATATTTTCAAGTCCTAACCCAGGAACCTCAAAATGTGTCTTTATCTGGAAACAGAGTCTTTGCAGATGCAATGAGGTCATACCAGGGTAGAGCGAGCCCTTCATTCAATGTGACTGGAGTCCTTCTGAGATTCGGTTGGGGGAGACAAAGACACAGACACAGACACACAGGGAGGACGCCTGTGAACAGAGAGGCGGAGCCGAGGGTGACGCCGCTGCAGCCCGGGACTGGCAGCCACGGCCAGAAGCTGAAGAGGCAGGGAAGGAGCCTCCCCTGCAGGTCTCAGAAGGAGTGAGGTCCTGCTCACACCTTGATTTTGGACTTCTGGCCTCTAGAACTGGGAAAAAATGAATTTCTGTTGTTTTAAGCCACCTGTTTGTGCTACTTCATTATAACAGTCCTAGGAAACTAATACACATCAACATAGTAACTAAATGATAAGTCAGAATTATTCCCATGAAAGTCAAAAGCAGAAAGGATGCCTGCTGCCGCCACTTCTAATCAACATTAGAGGTAGAAGGAAAATTACCTTCAGGTGATAGAAAATGCAAGCGACTCTACCCACCAACCACTAACGACTAAGAGTTTACTGAGGTTTCTATTTACAAGATCAAATATACCAAAAGATCTCATTCCTATGTACCAGTAATAATTTAAAAATATAACAAGAAGGTCCCAAATCACAATTTTTAAAACAACAACCAAAAAATCAAGATAAACAGAAATAAATCTTTGCACATAATATCTATAGAGCAAATGACAAAACACCAAATGAATATAAAAGCAGATCTGAATAAATGTCCATGGGTGGGGACATTTATCATCAAAAATATGTAAATTCTTTCCCATTTTAATCTATCATCTCTATACAATTCCAGTGAAAATCTCAACACGTTTTTCCTGGAACTTGATAAGACAATCCTAGCTAAGACACTTGCAGAATGAAGTGGAAAGATTTGTCCTACAAATCTTCTTATCAAGAAAATAAGAAGATATAAAAACTTCTTATCAAGCTGTACTAATCAAGAGACAGCGTGATTAGCCTAGAAATACAAAAATACCATCATAGAGCAGAAGAGAGATGCTGGAAATAGACCCAGGAATACATAGACATTTGATAAAATGATAAAAATAGCATTGCAACCAATGAAGAAATGGTGGACTATTCAATGAACGGTGTGGGAAAACTGGCTATTCATTCTGAAAAAAATTACATTACATTCTTAATTTACACCGTTTGCAGAACAAACAGTTCCAGGTAGACTCAAAGTTTAATGTAAAAATCAATTTTTTTTTACATGAGGAAGAAACTAAAGAAGAGTATCAGGCCGTGCGCAGTGGCTCACGCCTGTAATCCCGGCACTATGAGGCTGAGGCAGGCGGATCACCTGAGGTCGGGAACTTGAGACCAGCCTGACCAACATGGCGAAACCCCGTCTCTACTAAAAATACAAAAACTAGCCGGGTGTGGTGGTGGGTGCTTGTAATCCCAACTACTTGGGAGGCTGAGGCAGGAGAATCACTTGAACCCGGGAGGCTGAGGTTGCAGTGAGCCGAGATGACGCCATTGCACTCCAGCCTGGGCGACAGAGCGAGACTCCATCTCAACAACAACAAACAACAACAACAACAAAAAGAACAGTATCATCATGATCGCAGGGTAAGGAAGAATTTTTTTGAACAGGAGACAAAACCCAAAAATCATAAAGGAAAAATATTGATATGTTTGTTTTTTATTATGTTAAAGCTAGCTACTATTATAATAATAAGATTCCAAAATGATAATGGCTCAAATGCAATGGAAGTTTATTTCTACGCATTTAGCCATCCAAGGCGGGTGCTCCTGATTGAGGGAAGCCCTCCATGTGGTCATTCAGGGATGCAGGCTGGCGGAGGCTCTTCAACCCAGAGCCTCCAAAGTCACTTAGTCATCTTGGCCCCAGTCAGCCAGAACAGGAAATGAGTGTGGAGGGGACAGACCAGCTTCCTAAGAGCCTTGGTCGGGAAATGGTACATGTTACTTGCACTCACATCCCATGGCTAAAACTTAGTCACAAGGCTATTCCTATTGAAGAGAGGCTAGGAAGTTCAGTCTAGCCCTGTGCCCAGCAAGAGAAAGTGGGCTTTTTTTTTTTTGAGATGGAGTCTCGCTCTGTCGCCCAGGCTGGAGTGCAGTGGCGCAATCTCGGCTCACTGCAAGCTCCGCCTCCCGGGTTCACGCCATTCTCCTGCCTCAGCCTCCCGAGTAGCTGGGACTACAGGCGCCCGCCACCACGCCCGGCTAATATTTTTGTATTTTTAGTAGAGAAGGGGTTTCACTGTGTTAGCCAGTGAAGTGGGCTTTCTGGTGAACTTAAAGACTTAAAAATTTCTAGCCAGGCACAATGGCTCATGCCTGTAATCCCAACACTTCAGGAGGCCGAGGCAGGTAGACCACTTGAGGCCAAGAGTTCGAGACTAGCCTGGCCAATATGGTGAAACCCCTTCTGTACTAAAAATACAAAATATTAGCTGGGTGAGGTGGCAGGCACCTGTAATCCCAGCTACTCAGGAGGCTGAGGCACAAAAATCACTTGAACCCAGGAGGCGAAGGTTGCAGTGAGCCGAGATTGTGCCACTGCACTCCAGCCTGGGCAACAGAGTGAGACCCTATCTCAAAATAAATAAATAAATAAAATTCTGCTCAACACAAGACAACCCCAGAGGAGAAGAAAAGATAGGCTCTAGCCTGAGGACCGATATTCTCAGTGTTCATAATATAGAATTTCTGTTATAAGGCCATGTTTGAATCAATAACAAAAAGACAAACAACACATTAGAAACATTGGCAAAGAATATGAACAGATAAATCGACAGAAAAATGATCTGTAAGCAATCTATGAAAATATGAAAAAATTTGATGGCTGGTAATACCAAGAAAAGAAAAGGTAGCCTATTTTTTGGCCAACTGTGGCAAACATTAAAAAGACGGGCCATATTCATCTCTGGCTGCAGAGAAAGGGCAATTTATCTGTGTGATGAGATTGTTAATTGGTGAAACTTTTCAAGGACAATTTGGCATTATCTTTCAAAATTTAAAATAAAAATTCCCTTATTCCCAGCAATTCCACTTTTAGGAATTTATCTTACAGGCACAATCAATCACACAAAGATATATGTTCATGAATTGTAACTGCTGCATTTTTTAGGTAATAGTAAAAAAGAAAAATAACCTATTCAGAAATGGCTAAACAAGTTATGAAAATCAATTATAAAATCCATATGGGCTGAGCACAGTGGCTCACACTTGTAATCTCAACACTTTGGGAGGCCGAGGTGGGCGGATCATTTGAGGTCAGGAGTTAGAGACCAGTTTGGCCAACATGGCGAAACCCCGTCTCTACTAAAAATACAAAAAAATTAGCTGGGTGTGGTGGCGCCCACCTATAATCCCAGCTCTTGGGGGAGGCTGAGGCAGGAGAATCACTTAAACCTGGGAGATGGAGGTTGCAGTGAGCTGAGATCACACCACTGCACTCCATCCTGGGTGACAGAGCGAGACTGTCTAAAAAAAAAAAAGAGAAAAAATAAAATCCATATGAAATATCATACAACACAGCAATTCAAAACTGAAGTAACTCTTAAGTACTGTCATGGGAAAAGTTCCAAAAATTAAAAATAAACGAGTAAGTCTCAGGACAGTACAGACAGTATGATTCCATGTATTTAAAAATCCCAGGCCAGTCGTGGTGGCTCACGACAGTAATCTCAGCACTGTGGGAAGCCGAGGTGGGCAGATCACTTGAGGCCAGGAGTTAAAGAGCAGCCTGGCCAACATGGCAAAACCCCGTCTCTACTAGAAGTACAAAAATTAGCCGGCATGGTGGCGGGCACCTGTAATCCCAGCTACTTGAGAGGCTGAGGCAGGAGAATTGCTTGAGCCCAGTGGGAGGAGGTTACAGATTGTGCCATTGCACTCCAGCCTGGGTGACAGAGGGAAACTGTCTCAAAAAAAAAAAAAAGTAAAATAAATAAAAATCCTTAACCCTGTGTATACACACGTGCATATATATGTATATATCTATAAATGCATAAAAACGCGGGTCTGAAAAGATGCTCTCCATATTGTGTTTGGTTTCTCTTGGGTTTTGGACAATGAACATGTATTATCTTTGCAGTTAAATAAGAGAATGTGTCCACCGACCAGGGCAACATGGAAAAAGAGAGTCCAATTTTGTTTTTTTTCTTTTGTCCTTCCATTCCTTAAGGAGGTGTTTCCTGCTAAGGAGCAGGGACATTTCATCAGCTTGCAATGCAGCCTGAGGAATGCCCTTACAAATGATTCGCCTCCCGTGGTTCCAGCTCAGCGTTCTGCCAACATTCCCCTACATGCGGCAGGAGGCGTGATCGTAGGAGGCCTGGGCTCTCTATCAAGCTGCTCAGATGCTCCTGGGACTCAGCCGCCCAGCAGCGTTGACAGCCAATGGTTCACAACAAAGTCCCTCCCCAGAAACTGCCCTTGGCCAGCCATGGCTACCAAGGTCATACCTGCCCCCAGGGGAGGGCAGTGTTCATATCCAATGACTGGTCCATGCCTGGTCCCCTTACCTGGAACTGGGATCCCTCTGAATGGCTCTTGGGGCAGCCCTGGGAGTGTGCTGCTCGGATGTCCCTTCACAAGAACCTGCTGCAGGGGACGGATTTGAGTGCTTCCCACTGCCAAAGTTTTCGGATCTACTGAAGCTCATGTCAAGGTCATGCCGTTCCCAGGGTGCTGCCACCCAATGACCAAGCACAGTGTGAGGGTGGTGGTTGGGAGGAAGTGGAGATGCGCCACCCGGTCCCATTGCAGGTCTCCCTAACGGGCAGCCTTTGCAATGGGGCTCCCCCTAGCCCACTGAGCCTTTCTGAGACCTGCACCTTGTCTGAAGCGCTTCAAGATAAACTTCCTTCCTTCTCTGTCCTCCTCCACGTGTGTCGGGTCAGAAGCATCAGCTCACACTTTTTCTTCTGTTCTCCTATCTCTTGCCCCATAAACTCTTTCTCTTATTTCATTGTGGGGTCCTGGCTTCAGAGGTCCCCGTGGATGAGCGCTGCAGCTCCCTCCCGCCCACCCCACCCCCAGTCTTGCTCTCCTCACTCTTGTGGCTCCCAGTGGGTCCCCTGTGGTTGAAACTCCATTTCAGAGTTTGTACTGGGGAACTCAGCCTGTGAGAGGGGCTGACATTAACGTCCCTGCGAAAGAATATCTTCAACCCAAAATAGCAAATTGACATTTCAAAGCAGAACACTTTCAGAGGCAAAAGAAGATTAAAGGCTCATATGGCTGGAATAGATTTCCACTCTTCTGATGAAGCAGACACAGACATAGAAGGTCTCCCTGCAGAGGAGTCCCGCTCAGAAGGGAAGATCTCTGTGACGCCGTCACTGGCTCTTGTCCCCAGGAATGTTCCTACCTGAAGCATGAGAAGCTCCAATCAGCCTTGCTCGAATCAGCCCCTCTCTCTTTTTGTTTCTTATTATTTTAACCTTTCCCCGAAAAGTTTCCAGGTGATAGTCTAGTTTTTCTTTCAAATCATCTGGAAAAATATTCAACACATGAGAATGTATAAACGGCAACTATAGAAATTGAAACAGTGTATCATCATTATGACGTATTCCTAAAATCCATGCTATTCCACAGAAGTTCTAACTTTAAAAGAGAATTTTGGGGCCAGGTGTGGTGTCTCATGCCTGTAATCCCAGCACTTTGGGAGGCCGAGGCAGGCAGATCACTTGAGGTCAGGAGTTCGAGACCAGCCTGGCCAACATGGTGAAAACCCCCTCTCTACTAAAAATACAAAAATTAGCCGGGCATAGTGGTGGGCGCCTGTAATCCCAGGTACTCGGGGCTGAGGCAAAAGAATCGCTTGAACCCGGGAGGCAGAGGTTGCAGTGAGCCGAGATGGCCCCATTGCACTCTAGCCTGGGCAACAAGAGCAAAACCCTATCTCAAAAAAAAAAAAAAAAAGATAGAATTTTTATCCCATTTAAGGGAGAGAAACACAAGTGATTCATTATCAAAATCAACTGTAAATATTTTTCTTTTTGTTTCGTTTTTGTTGAGACAGGGCCTCATTCTGTTACCAACGTTGGAGTGCAGTGGCATGATCATAGCTCACTGCAGCCTTGACCTCCCAGGATCAAGCAATCCTCGTGCCTCAATGTCCTGAGTAGCTGGGACTACAGGTATGCACCACAACACCTGGCTAATTTTTAAATATTTTGTAGCAATAGGGTCTTGCTACATTGCCCAGGCTGGTCTTGCACTCCTGGCCTCAAGGGATCCTCCCATCTTGGTCTCCCAAAGTTCTGGGATTATAGGCGTGAGCCACCACGCCTCGCCCTGTAAATATTATTCTATGGTTCTAGTGAAATAACTCTATTTTAGTAAATCACTATTAACATTTTAATAGAAAAACCATGCATTATAGAGCTTTGGCGCAATCTGGGTTTGCTACTATCTGTGCTTCTAATTTTTCAGTAGCTCTTGGGAAAGTTATCGAACCACGAGAGTCTTAGTTTCCTCAGCTGAGAGAAGGGATGACCATCATGTTCCCGGCAGTACTCTGGTATGAGGAAGAAGAAATATATCACCCAGCACAGAGCCTGGCACCCAATAGTCACTTAATATTTGGAAGTTAATACAATGATGATAAAGGAGGCTGGGACCAGGTGAGATGGATGCAGGTACCTCAGAGGTCTAAATTCCTAAGTCCCAGCAATCTGGGTCAGGGGCAGGTTGAACAGGAACAGGTTCATGGTAATCCCAGCAGAAGGAGGGATCTTCTTCCTTGTTTTTAGAAAGAGGCAGGGATACAGGCTGCATAGCTGCACTTGCAGGCCTGGGCAGCATCTCAGCTCAAAGATCTCCAGACACCTCACTCACATCCAGGATGTAGGAGGCAGCAAGAGGAGGGAAAAGTGGGACGCCATGAGCCAGGCCCTGGAGGAGATAAAGGCAGTTAAGGCAGCAGCAGTCACTGACATGAAGTGGAGGGTGTGGGTTTTTCAGAAGATGGTCATGTTGTTGGCTTGCAGTCTAGAGGGACCAGGACTATGGGAAAAGTGGATGGCAGCAGGTCATGGACAGGCCATTTGTGTAGCTCAGTGGGAGCAGTTCCCTGGGCCCCTGGCCCTGCTCCCCCAAGCTGAGGAGTCTATCGGCCATACCTATAGGTGTCAGCTGGGACAGACAGGGTTTTGTTGAAGAAATTGTCCTTAAACCCATGATGAAGTCACCGTGAATTAAAGGAGGAAGGTGTCAACCTGAGCTCCATCAGAGCCTAGAACACCCTAGTCCTGTGTTTAAGGCTCTGTGTGGGTCAAAGGCTCAGATAGAGGAGGAGAAGCAGAGGTGTCTGGTTGGGAAGCACACCCACATGTTGGCAGCAGCGACCCCCTAGTCTCTCATAAAGGGGACCACAATGTGTGATGAATGTATGAGAACGTTGACAGATCTTACGGCCGGTATGTTTGTGTCCCCACCAAAATTCAAAGTACCCCTCAGTATGATGGTATTTGCAGGTGGGGCCTTGCAGAGGCATAACTGGGTGATGGAGCTAGCTTGCTCTCTTTCCACAACATGAGGACATAGCAAAAAGATGGCTGTCTATCACCCAGGAAGAGGGCCCACTCTAAGAACTCGATCCTGCTGGCACCCTCATCTCGGACTTCCAACCTCCAGGACTCTAAGAAATAAATGTTTGTTGTTTAAGCCACCCAGTTTGTGGCATTTTGTTACAGCAGCCAAGCTGATAAGACACCAGTTACGTCTCCAAATTCATGGTGTGGTTCTGAAAGGCTGGGGGAGGTATCCGTCCCCTGGTCATTCCTGGCACTGTGTCTCCATGGCAGCATTCTTGTACTTCTGGGTGAGAAGTTAGAATTCCACAATCCATCAGGTTATCCCACCCTGTCCCCTGCTGGTGGCTTTCCCAGTGACTTCTTGCCCAGCAAGTCACCAAACATGCTGCTCAGTCTTTTGAGCAGAAGAGGCAGCGTGGGTCACAGGGGCAGCAGGGAAGCCAGGCCCTCACTCCACACTCTTCCCATGCACAAGGCTAGAAATAGACAGTCCTGTGCCCTCAGACATTGGTGACCCCCTTAGAAACAGTGTTATTTACGATAGGTGCCTGGCCAACATCTACATTTCCACCACACAACTGCCAGTGACTTGAGTCACATTCAGGAGTCACCTAGAGTCACTTCCCCGCAGGGTGAACCTCATGGGATGGTTTCTTCCTCTGCCTGTTCTTCCTACTGCTTCTCCTCATCTTTTTGTTTCTGAGCTCATAGTGGGTCACATTTAGAGTGGATTGGGTTGACTTTCAGCCTGAAACTTACTTAATATTGACATCATTGCTTTGGTACTCCTGGCTTGCCTAAGGTTTGTACTCCATTGTAAATTAGGTGAGTAATTTCCAATTCTAAGTGTAGTTAACTAGTGCTAGTATCACAATTCTTTAAAACCAGTAAGCATGAAAGAATACACACTTAACTGCAGTTGGTCTGATTCCGCTTCTTTCATGGAATTCCTAGATCATCTCATTTTCCTGCATTAAGCCCTTAATAGCTCCTCATAGCTTCAAGATAAAATTCAAATAATGCGCTTTATGAGCAGTTACCCCCCGTGCCCTGCTTTTTTTAAGTGATGGGGTTTTGCCATGTTGCCCAGGCTGCTCTGGAGCTCCTGAGCTCGAGGGATCTGCCCACCTTGGCCTCCCAAAGTGCTGGGATTGCAGGTGTGAGCCACCAGGCTGGGCTGGGAGTTCCCTTTTAATAACTCTGGTTTTGCCCACCTCCCCCCTGCAACTCTATACTCATGCATAGACTACATAAAATATGGTAGCATGTATTTCAAGCTCTCTATGGCTTCTCTTACCTCTGGGCCTTTACGATGCTGCTTAAGCTACCAAAAACACTTTTTCCTTCCTCTCCACCTAGATCATTACAACTCATCATTCAGACCTCAGTTGACATGTCACTTCTTCCTGAAGTTATCTCCAAGGATGTGGCCGGTGCCCCTATGTTTGCCTTATGGAAGCACCGCCCCTCCACCCCTCTGCCATGGGCCCAAGTACAGGGCCCAGGTCTCACATGTCCACCATATACCAAGAGCCCCTAGTGCAGTGCCTGCCCCAATACCCACCAAAAAGATTTTTTTGTACAAAATACTCAAGTGCCATCGGGGAGCGCACTACCTTCAGAGTAGATTAGATGGTCAGGCGTCGTGGCTCACACCTGTAATTCCAGCACTTTGGGAGGCTGAGGCGGACAGATCACTTGAGATCAGGAGTTCGAGACCAGCCTGACCAACATGGTGAAACCCCGTCTCTACTAAAAATACAAAAATTAGCCGGGCGTGGTGGCATGCACCTGTAATCCCAGCTGCACGGGAGGCTGAGGCAGGAGAATCGCTTGAACTCAGGAGGCAGAGGTTGCAGTGAGCCGAGATGGTACCACTGCACTCCAGCCTGGGTGACAGAGGGAAATCTCAACAACAACAACAACAAAGTAGATGAGATAATGAGTGTTCTATCTTACCAACTTTGCTCATGTCATCTACCAAAATAATTTCTTCAAGAAAATAGTGTGGCGTGAGGTTCGTGACACTGGACATGGTCTGAAACAAGGCATTACATTCTTCATTATAGAAGCAAATGACAATGCTGGCAGTCGGGAGGCGGGCTGGGTAATGTTTTTGAAGACACCTGCAGGCAGAAGCAATATGAAGAAAACCATCCATCTAAATGCCTTGGATGTTGTGTCATCTCGTTCAAACACTTCTCCTTATTTGCATCTTTTTGACTCTTTACTCCTTCAACTGATAATTATGGTAATAAGGTGACAGTACATCTAAAAACACAAAAATTTATTTAACTTCTTATGTTGTTCTAATATTTTCTGAATAATTTCCCCCTTCTTAATGTCAGTAATAATTGCTCTTTCCTGAGACTGTGTTGATAATCTCAGTTCTATTTTAAACATAGTATAAACACAAATTATATTCATGTATTAGCTTCTGTTATAAAAATGAATTAGTTTTATCTTTTTTTTTTTTTGCTGTCACCATGGCAGGACAGATAAAAATGAATTATTAAGCTCACACATTAAAAAGTGTACATTAACTTTATTGTGCTGTCTTCAGAGAAAACTCCAACTTTATTCTTATATTTGTGGAGTCTGTCGCAACAAAAAAGTATAGCAGATATGGTCTAATTGGATTTCTTCTGAATATTTGACAAAAATGCTTTATTTCATTTTTATTTATTCATTCTTTTTGAGATGGAGTTTCACTCTTGTTGCCCAGGCTGGAGTGTAATGGTGTCATCTTGGCTCACTGCAACCTCTGCCTCCTGGGTTCAAGCGATTCTCCTGCCTCAGCCTCCCGAGTAGCTGGGATTACAGGCATGCACCACCATGCCTGGCTAATTTTTTATGTTTTTAGTAGAGACAGTGTTTCACCATGTTGGCCAGGCTGGTCTTGAGCTCCCGACCTCAGGTGATCCACCTGCCTCAGCCTCCCAAAGTGTTGGGATTACAGGCATGAGCCAATGTCCCTGGCCCCAGAATACTTTATTTTTTTGTGTGTGTGCATATGAGGGAAATATAGAAGCTGAATTCTGGAATTCTAGTAATATTAGTTATTAATTATTATTTAGATATATTATTTAGTTGTATACTGAAATATTTTGGTTGTAAATTAAAGAAATCTGCTGGAGCTAACTTTAGCAAAAGAAAAGGAGCTGTGGCTGGCACAGTGGCTCATGTCTGTAATCCTGGCACTTTGGGAGGCTGAGGTGGGTGAATCACATGAGGTCAGGAGTTCGAGACCAGCCTGGACAACATGGCAAAATTCTGTCTTTACTAAAAATACAAAAATTAGCCAGATGTGGTGGCACGCACTCGTAGTTCCAGCTACTTAGGAGGCTAAGGCAGAGAATATTTTGAACCTGGGAGAGAGAAGTTGTAGTGAGCCAAGACCATACCACTGCATCCAAAAAAAAAAAAAAAAGAAAGAAAGAAGAGGGGGAGGGAGGGAGGGAGAGAGAGAGAGAGAAAGGGAGGAAGGAAGGAAGGAAGGAAGGAGGGAAGGAAGGAAGGAGGGAAGGAAGGAAGGAAGGAAGGAAGGAAGGAAGGAAGGAAGGAAGGGAAGAGAGATGTATTGTGAGCTGACTCAAATGTCTCACAGGACCTAGAAGCTGCAGCAGCTGGAGCCTCAAGGAATGATTAGAACTAGAGGCTTGAATGATGTCTGGACACTCTCTATCTCTGCTTTTGTGTTTACATTTGGGAAAAATAATAATAGCGATATCAACCTACCTCCAAGGGCTGTGAAGATGCAATGAATTAACATGCCTACAACACTTAGAGCAGTGCCTGGCACGCAGTAAGTATTCAGATAGAAGGCGCATTACATGATTATGATTCTTCCTCTGCACCTGGGCTTTTTCCACTTCTTTAGTGGGAAATGTGATTGACATCAGCATTTCTTATAGGCAAGGACCCAAGGAGAAACTGGTGGGACTTTACCTTTT
Organism: Homo sapiens; assembly: GCF_000001405.40. Taxonomy (NCBI): domain Eukaryota; kingdom Metazoa; phylum Chordata; class Mammalia; order Primates; family Hominidae; genus Homo; species Homo sapiens. The sequence continues at coordinate 151,981,158 of NC_000007.14, read as the reverse complement.
CCAAGATCAAATATTGACTGGAAAAGATTCACTGGCCCAGCTTGCCATAGGTGCCCCATCCCTGGGTTAATCAACTGGGGCCAGAAAATTGAGTTGAAATAAAAAAATCATTGTGGCCGGGCGCGGTGGCTCAAGCCTGTAATCCCAGCACTTTGGGAGGCTGAGGAGGGCGGATCACGAGGTCAGGAGATCGAGACCATCCTGGCTAACACGGTGAAACCCCGTCTCTACTAAAAATACAAAAATTTAGCCGGGCGCAGTGGCGGGTGCCTGTAGTCCCAGCTACTTGGGAGGCTGAGGCAGGAGAATGGCGTGAACCCAGGAGGCGGAGCTTGCAGTGAGCCGAGATCCCGCCACTGCACTCCAGCCTGGGCGACAGAGCGAGACTCCATCTCAAAAAAAAAAAAAAAAAAAAAAAAAATCATTGTTAGCACTGCAATCACACGGAAAGGGGAAAAACAGTGGGAAAGGAGTGCTGGGCAGGCAATCCTATGGGCATCCTGGACAGTCCCCTCAGGGTACTCACAAAATGAAGTCACCAGGGAAGGAGAGGGCCTTGTCCTCGTCTTCCTTTTTATCCAAGACAAGATGAAGACAGAGAAGTCATGCCCACTGAGTGGAACTGACATCAGACTCAAGGGAATGGAGAGTCCGAGGGACAGGGCCAAGGAAGCACCGGAACAGATGGGAATGAGGGCACCTGCACCGTCTGCACTTGGGTCTGTAACGGTGAGTGGGAAAACGCGGCTGTGCAGAAACATGTGGAAAAATAATTAAAAGGCTTAAATGGCTCACGCCTGTCATCCTAGCACTTTGGGAGGCCAAGGCGGGCAGATCACCTGAGGTTAGGGGTTTGAGAGCAGCCTGGCCAACATGGCAAAACCCCTTCTCTATTAAAAATACAAAAATTAGCTGGGCGTGGTGGTGCATGACTGTAATCCCAGCTTCTCAGGAGGCTGAGGCAGGAGAATCACTTGAACCCAGAAGGCGGAGGTTGCAGTGAGCCAAGATGGCGCCACTGCACTCCAGCCTGGGCAACAGATTGAGACTCTGTCTCAAAAAAATATTCCAGTAAGATCATTGAGTTGAGAGACAGAAAGTAGGAGAGAAAGAGAAAATATGATACTAGACTGAATTAACGGAAGGCCAATACCATGAATAAGAGAAGTGGTGGTCCAGGATGACTTCTGCTGCTAAAATCACATCTCTGATGTTATAGTCAGTCCTGGGTGTATCACTTTAAGAAAACTGGAAATAAACTGCGTCCCTTCAGTTTGATGTTGGTGGAGGAGCCTGAAACTCACATGAGGACTCTTTAGACCCCCAAGAGAACCTGGTGTGTGTGGGTTTCTCAAAAATAGATCAACAAATGTTGCTGTGGTATGTCTATAAAAACTTTCCTGGCCAGGTGCAGTGGCTCATGCCTGTAATCCCAGCACTTTGGGAGGCCAAGGTGGGCGGATCACCAGAGGTCAGGAGTTCAAGACCAGCCTGGCTAACATGGTGAAACCCCATTTCTACTAAAAATCCAAAAAATTAGCCGTGGTGGCGGGTGCCTGTAATCCCAGCCACTTGGGAGGCTGAGGCAGGAGAATCTCTTGAACCCGGGAGGTGGAGGTTGCAGTGAGCCAAGATCCTGCCATTGCACTCTACCTTGGGCAACAAGAGCAAAACTCTGCCCCCCTCCCCCCACCAAAAAAAATCCTTGCTGGGACCTAAGAAAGCTGTTTTTAAGAGTAAAAGGAGGCCGGCCGTGGTGGCTCACACCTGTAATCCCAGCACTTTGGGAGGCTGAGGCAGGCAGATCACGAGGTCAGGAGATCAAGACCATCCTGGCTAACATGGTGAAACCCCGTCTCTACTTACAAAAAAAAAAAAAAAATTAGCTGGGCGTGGTGGCGGGCACCTGTGGTCCCAGCTACTTGGGAGGCTGAGGAAGGAGAATGGCGTGAACCCGGGAGGTGGAGCTTGCAGTGAGCCGAGATGGCACCACTGCACTCCAGCCTGGGTGACAGAGTGAGACTCCATCTCCAAAAAAAAAAAAAAAAAAAAGAGTAAAAGTAATTTGGATGGCCTTTGGTTGTCCTCAATTAGCTGATCATATAAATTTGCTAACCTTACACATTGCTGACCTTATACATTAATAATAGTTCAGTACAAAGCAGGACTCTTTTAGGCTGAATTGTGTCTTCCAAAATTCATATAGTGAAGTTCTAGTCCCCAGGACCTCAGAATGTGATCCTATTTGGAAAAAGAGCTGTTGTAGAGATAATTAGTAAGGTGAGCTCATTAGGGTAGGCCCTAATCCAATATGACTCATGTTCTTACAAAAAGGGGAAATTTGAACCCAGAGACAGACATATACAAAGGGAAGATGACGTTAAGAGTTATAGGGAGAAGACGGCCATCTATAAGCCAAGGAGAGACGTCTGGAACAGAGCCTAATTTCTTTACAGCTCTCAGAGGCGAGCAATCCTGCCAACAACTTGATTTCAGATTTCTGGCCTCCAAAACTGAGAGAGAATAATTTTTGTTGTCTAAGCTACCCAGCTGATGGTACTTTCTTATAGCAGCCCTACCAAACCAATATTTGGATACCAAATTTTACCATGCATCAGTCTCAACTGGGGTTCTTGCTGACTGCAGATTCTGATTAAGGAGATTTGGGTAGGGGCCTGAGATTCTGCATGGCTAGCAAGCTCCCAGGGGCTGTCAGTGCTGTTGGTTTTCAGGCTGTATTTTGAGTGGAAATAGTCCACCAGGCACAGGCACTCTTACAACGACAATCTTTTAAGCACATTAGAAAAAGATGGTGATAGATGACTGCTAAGCTAATTTGTAAATGGCTATTCATTTGTTCAAATCCAATTAAAAAAATGGATTTCTCCAAATAATTTTTGGATCAGAGGAAGTTAAAAATTGTAAATTATATAGAAATTAAAAATGAAAGCCTATCATGTTAAATCTAAGAGATATGGCTAAAATTTAAATCTGAATAAAATGAATATTTATAAATGTATTATTATACCACAAAGCGGTAAAATAATCAAACTAACCTTATAAACTAGCAAGAAAAACAGGATAAACCAAAAGAAATAAAAATGAACCAATAAAGATAACTAGAAATTAATGAATTGGAAGACAAAAAAGTAAAATTAGTAAGTATAATCAAAAGTTGGCTTTTTGAAAGACAAAACAATGCACATCAAACTTAAAAAGAGAGTGGGAAAACATACAATAAAAAATGAGAAAGAAGGTATGGTACTAGCGGAGATGATAGTAATTAGGGAAATAAGATACACAACTTTTGCCAATAAATTTGAGAAATAGGTGGAATAAAGTTTTATTACAACAGTGTCCTAAATAGCCCCTAGAAATAGAAAGCTTGAGTAGAACAATAACTTTAGAGTAATGTGCAAGTTTATCAATGTCTACCACTAAAAAATGCACTGGTGATTCATAATTACCAAGCAAGTGCTATTTCAACATAATAGGTGATTATCATATTATCCCAATTATTTCAGAGAGTCAAAAACTTTCAAATTCATTTTATAAAGCTAGTATAAGTCTGATATCAAAATCTGATGAAGATAATACAAAAAAGAAAAACATAAATCACAATTTTAAAAACTTGAATCATACATAGACTTTTTTTGAAGAGAAAATAAGGTCTTAACCTCCAGAGATGAATTGTTACTTTAATGTTTCTTAAATATGTGAACCTATGAGCTCAGAATCTCCTTGTGCTCATAAGTTCGTACCCAGCTATAAACAAAACAGTTAAAAATAATAAAATATGGCTAGAAGGGTTAAAATCAAATTAATAAATTAATTTTAATTTCAGGTTGGGTTTTGTTGAAATGACATCACCACTTATAACTTATTTTCTACTTGTTATAGGAAAGTTTATTTCTTAATTTGACTAGACTTTCCTACTATGTAGTGTGTGTTTGCTTAAATCTCTCAGTCCTATTTTTGTATTTGAAATATTGGTTTAAAAAATTCTATTGGCCATATTGTAAAGTAACTTGTCATAACATATAATTTAGGTATTTGGTCTGCCTCTGTTTGACATCATTTGTATAATGTACCTATTAAGTTTACTAATACTTTTCTCATTACTTACTGAAATTTGGTGACAATAGTAACAGGCTGTCCTCCTGTATAAATATATATTAATTAAAAATAATAGGCCAGGTGCAGTGGCTCATGCCTGTAATCCCAGCACTTTGGGAGGCCAAGGTGGTTGGATCACCTGAGGTCAGGAGTTCGAGACCAGCCTGACCAACATGGTGAAACCCCATCTCTACTAAAAATACAAAAATTAACCGGGTGTGGTGGTGCACGCCTGTAATCCCAGCTACTCAGGAGGCTGAGGCAGGAGAATTGCTTGAACCTGGAGGCAAAGGTTGCAGTGAGCTGAGATCGTGCCACTACACTCCAGCCCAGGCGACAGAGCGAGATTCCATCTCAAAAAATATATATATATAAAAGTGGGAAGATGAAATTTTAGAATTCTCATGGAGAATCTCATTAAGAATTTGCAGACTTCTGAAAATACATACATAAATCTCAACTTGAAAAACATGATTAAAAAAACAAGACCTAACTGATGCTGCCTATAAGAAACTCACTTCCCCTTTAAGGATATACAAGGATTAAAAGTGATGAGATGGAAAAAGATATTTCATGCAAATGGAAACCAAAAGAGAGCAGAGGATACTTATACTGAAGTAAAACAGACAGTAAGTCAAAAATTGCAAAAAGAGATGGATAAAGCAGGTCATTTTATAGTGATAAGGGGCCCCTTTCATCAAGAAGATATAACAATATTATATTGCCAGTTGGTAATATAATACCAAGATATAACATCAAGAAGACATGTTGTAAATATATCTGCACCCAACGTCAGAGAACCTAAATATATAAAGCAAATATTAATAATCTGAAGTGAGTGATAGACTGCAATAAAATAAAAGTAGAGGACTTCAATACCCCACTTACAACTATGTACAGATCATCCAGACAGAAAATCAATAAGGAAATACTGGGCTTCAACTATACTTTAGATCAAATGGACCTAACAGACACACATGAGCATTTTATCCAACAGCTGAAGAGCATATATTTCTTCTCTGAGGCACATGGAATATCCTCCAGGATTGATCAAATATTAGGCCACAGAACAAGTCTTAACAATTTAAGATTGAAATCATATCAAGTATCTTTTCTGACCACAATGGTATGAAACTAGAAATCAATAATGAGACAAATTTCAGAAAACTCACAAATATATGGAAATTAAACAACATGTTCCTAACCAACCAATGGGCCAAAGAAGAAATTTTTAAAAAGACATTAAAATGAAAATTAAAAATATCTTGACAAATGGAAATAAAAAAAAATACCAAAACATATGGGATGCAGCAAAAGCAGTACTAAGTTTTGGAATTATAGGAATAAACACCTATATCAAAGCAGAAGAAAGTTTCCAAACACACAACCTAATGTTATACCTGAAGGAACAAGAAAAAGACAGCAGACTAAGCCCAAATTTAGTAAAAGAAAGAAAATGACAAAGATAAGTGCAGAAATAAATGAAATAGAGATTAGGAAAACAATAGAAAAGACAAACCAAACAAAGAGTTGGGTTTTTAAAAGGATAAGCAAATTTGACAAACCTTTAGCTAGACTAATTAAGAAAAAAGAAGACTCAAAAAAACAAGACCAGAAGTGAAAGAAGAGACATAATTGATATCACAGAAAAAACAGAGAATCATAAAAGACTACTATGAACAATTATATGCCAACAAATTGGATAACCTAGGAGAAATGAATAAATTCCCAGAAACATACAACCTATCAAGACTGAATCATGAAGAAACTGAAAATCTGAACAGACTAAAAATGAGTAAGGGCATTCAATCAGGAATAAAAATCTCTCACCAAAGAAAACTCCAGGACCTAATGGGTTCACTACTGAATTTATTTAAAGAATAAATACCAATCCTTTTCAAACTCTTCCAAAAAATTAAGGAGGAAGAAACACTTCCAAACTCATTTTATGAGACCAAATTACATTTTTTAAAAAAAGTAAGGGAAAGCTAAAATGAAAATTCCATTTAATGAAATAATATGGCTATTACAATAATGGCTAAAAATCTGGTTGGACTCCAGATAGTGGTAGTTGCTCTTAGAAGTTAATTTTTAAACATAGTAGTGGGCTCTTTGTACAGAATTGAATTTCCTATTAAATAAGTTATATTTTAAATATTAAAACTGCCAAGTCCACTTTTCTTTCTGGACAAATCTCTCTAAACTTTGTTTTTCTGAACAGTAATCATGTGATGGGGGAAGGGAAGCAAAAGCAATCATACTATTTTAGAAGGTGAGATTTAGGGAGAACAAATGATGATACAGAGAGAAATTCATAACCTAAAAGATATGTTAAAATGGTGACCTTTGTAGTAAATATTCAGTTCAGTGAAATATTGTTCTCTATGTTAATACCATGTTCTATGGTTTGAGTAAATTTAAGTTTTTTATTTTATCATGACCCAGATACATTGTGTCATCATGTACAAACTCCACGTCTCTTGAGTGTACCACATCATGAGTGATATTTGTGGCTTCAAATGTTTGCGTTGCACACAAGTTGCAACAAGGCAAAGTGGCCCTGCTTTCTCCTGTTTCATGGATATCCTTAATGTAAGTACTTCTCATTTAGTTAAAGGAGAATATTGGCCCTTTTTGTCTGGAAACCATCAGAACTTAAAGATGCTAAAAACGCATTAGCACATACACACTACAACATAGATGAACCTTGAGGGCATCATGCTAAGCAAAATAAGCCAGTCACAAAAAAAGACAAATACTATATGATTCCACTTATATGAGGTACTTAAAGTAATGAAATTCATAGACACACAAAGTAGAATGATGACTGCCAGGAAGTGCTGGGGTTGGGAAATGGAGAGTTGTTGTTTATTGGGTACTGTATTATATTACTTCATTTTCACACTGCTATAAGGATACCACCTGAGACTGGGTAATTTCTAAACAAAAGAGGTTTAATTGACCACAGTTCCACATGGTTGGGGAGGCCTCAGGAAACTTATAATCATGGCAGAAGGTGAAGGGGAAGCAAGGTACATTTTACACGGCAGCAGGACAGAGAGCGAGCACGGGGGAAACTTCCACTTTAAAAACCATCAGGTCTCATGAGAACTCCCTCACTACCATGAGAACAGCATGGGGGAAACTACTCCCATGATCCAATCACCTCCCACCTGGCCCCTCCCTCGACACCTGAGGATTACAATTCAACATGAGATTTGGGTGGGGACACACAGCCAAACCATATCATTCTGCCCCTGGCCCCTCCCAAATCTCATTTCACATTTCAAAACCAATCACGCCTTCCCAACAGTCACCCGAAGTATTAACTCATTCCAGCATTAACCCAAAAATCCAAGTCCAAAGTCTCATCTGAGACAAGTCCCTTCCTCCTATGAACCTATAAAATAAAAAACAAGTTAGTTATTTTCAAGATACAATAGCGGTACAGGCATTGGGTAAATATTCCCATTCCAAATGGGAGAAATTGGCCAATTGGCCAAAACAAAGGGGCCACAGGCCCCATGCAAGTCTGAAACCCAGCGGGGCAGACATTAAATCTTCTTTTTTTTTTTTTGTAAGACGGAGCTTGCTCTGTCACCCAGGCTGGAGTGCAGTGGTGTGAACTTGGCTTACTGCAACCTCTGCTGGCTGGGTTGAAACAATTCTCCTGCCTCAGCCTCCCAAGTAGCTGGGTCTATAGGCACGCATCACCATGCCTGGCTAATTTTTTTTTTTTTTTGTATTTTTAGTAGAGATGGGGTTTCACCATCCTGGCCAGGCTGGTCTTGAACTCCTGACCTCGTGATCCACCTGCCTTAGCCTCCCAAAGTGCTGGGATTATAGGCTTGAGCCACAGTGCCTGGCCCCTAAATCTTAAAGTTCTGAAATGATCTCCTTTGACTCCAAGTCTCACATCCAGGTCACAGTGATGCAAGGGGTGGGCTCCCAAGGCCTTGGGCAGTTCTGCTTCTGTGGCTCTGCAGGGTACATCCCCCGCAGCTGCTTTCAAGGGCTGGTGTTGAGTGCCTGTGTCTTTTCCAAGTGCATGGTGCAAGCTGTTGGTGGATCTACCATTCTGGGGTCTGAAGGAAGGTGGTCCTCTTCTCACAGCTCCACTAGGTATTGCCCCAGTGGGGACTAGGTTTGGTGTCTCTATCCCCACATTTCACCTCTGCATTACCCTAGTAGAGGTTCTCCACGAGGGCTCTGCCCCCGCAGCAGGCTTCTGCCTGGACATCCAGGTGTTTCCATATATCCTCTGAATTCTAGGTGGAGGCTCCCAAAGCTCAACTCTTGTCTTCTGTGCACCACAGGCCCAATACCACATGGAAGCCACCAAGGCTTGGAGCTTGCAACCTCTGAAACCACAGCCTTAGTTGTACTTTGGTCCCTTTTGGCCATGGCTGGAGCTGGAGTGGCTGGGACACAGGGCACCTTGTCCCAACGCTGCACAGAACAGCAGGGCCCTGGGCCTGGCCAACAAAATCATTTTTCCTTCTAGGCCTCTGGGCCTGTGATGGGAGGAGTTGCCATGGTCTCTGAAATGCCCTGGAGACATTTTCCCCATTGTCTTGGCTATTAACATTCAGCTCCTCATTACTTATGCAAATTTCTGCAGCTGGATTGGGCTTGAATTTCTCCCCAGAAAATGGGTTTTTCTTTTCTACCACATAGTCACCTGCAAATTTTCCAAACCTCAAGTTCAAAGTTCCATAGATCTCTAGGGTAGGGGCAAAATGCCACCAGTCTCTTTGCTAAAGCATAACAAGAGTCACCTTTACTCCATTTCTCAACAAGTTCCTCATCTCCATCTGAGACCACCTCAGCCTGGACTTCATTGTCCTTATCACTATCAGCATTTTTACCAAAGCCATTCAACAAGTCTCTAGGAAATTCCAAACTTTCCCACATCTTCCTCTTTTCTTCTGAGACCTCCAAACTATTCCAACCTCTGCCTGTTACCCAGTTCCCAAGTTGCTTCTACATTTTTAGGTATCTTTATAGCAGTGCCCCACTCCTGGTACCTATTTTCTGTATTAATCCATTTTCACACTGCTATAAAGATTCTACCTGAGACTGGGTAATTGCTAAACAAAAGAGGTGTAATTGACTCAGTTCCACATGGCTGGGAAGCCTCAGGAAACTGACAATCATGGTAGAAGGTGAAGGGAAAGCAAGGCATGTCTTACATGGTGGCAGAAGAGAGAGAGAGAGAGAATGCAGGGGAAACTGCTACTTTTAAAATCATCAGGTCTCATGAGAACTCCCTCACTATCATGAGAACAGCATGAGGGAAACCACCCCCATGATCCAATCACCTTCCACCAGGTCCCTCCCTTGACACCTGGGATTACAACTCAAGACAAGATTTGGGTGGGGACATAGAGCCAAACCATATCAGGTACAGAATTTCAGTTTGGGATGGTGAGAGAGTTCTGGAGATGGATGGTATCGATGGCTGCACAATGTGAATGTCTGTATTGTACATTTAAAGAGGATTAAAATGGCAAATTTTATGTTATGTGTATTTTATCACATAACAATGATTATGTTAATCATTAACATAATAATTATTAATGCAACAATTGAAAGAACAATTTTTTTGAAAAAAGTAAATTTTGGGGAATAAAAAGTAGCTGTCCAGAGCATTTTCTATCAGGAATGAATGCCCCTTTGGCCAGAAGCCCTTATTGGTGATTTAATAAAAAGATCTGTGGGTAACTCAATTCTTGGAAGCCTCTAGAACACATTTTGTGCCCACGAAGAAGACATTCTCTACACTATAAGCATTAGAATCTTGAAATAGAATCTTGACATTATCTGACTTCAAGTCCTAAAAATAGGAATCTATAACATTTCTAGTATGATCAAATTAAAATCTGGTTAGTAACTGTTTTCTTTCTATCTATCTATCTATCTATCTATCTATCTATCTATCTATCTAGAGAATGAGAGAAAGAGAGAGACAACATACATTTTACTCCTGGTATCTGGCACTTCTCTTTCGATGCCCAAGCTTCTACTGATAATCACATTAAATCCATATTTTAAAAGTTCTTTATGAAGTTCTGGGTTTGTATGGTTAAAATCTGTACCTGCAAGAAAATGTAATTAGAATCATATAAGTAAAGGCTTACTAGCAGTGATGCAGGAAAGGAAAGATCTAGAATAACCAAAACAATTTTTTAAAAGAACCAGAATAGAATTCGGAAATCGATCTGTGCAAAAATGGTCAAATAATTCTTGGCAAAGGTGGGTGTTTTAGTACATTTTGCATTGCTATAAAGGAATACCTGAGGCTGGGTAATTTATAAAGAAAAGAGATTTATTTGGCTCACAGTTCTGCAGGAAGCATTGAGCCAGCATCTGCTCCTGGTGGGGGCCTCAGGAAGCTTCCAATCTTGGCAGGAGGTAAAAGGGAAACAGGCAGGTCACGTGGTGAGAGAGGGAGCAAGGAGCGGGGGATGCCAGGCTCTTGAAACAACCAGCTTTCCCATGAGCTAATAGAAGGAGAGCTCATTACTGTAGGCAGGCACCAAGCCATTCATGAGGGATCTGGCCACGTAACCCAAACACATCCTGCCAGGCTCCACCTTCAACATTGTGGGACAAATTTCAACATGAGACATGGAGGGATAAATATTCTGATTGTATCAGTGGGGAAAGGGAAGTTTATCAACAAATGGTGTTGGATCATCTGGATTATCTGTAGAAAATAACCTATATGTGATGGTCCATTTTCAATTCTAAGTGGCTTAGTATAGGTTTAAGCAGGCTACATGGAAATAGGGAGATAAAGAAGCAGAATGTACTGAGCCCACCCCCACCCCCCGCCCCTTCCTGCTTTCCCTTTCACCCAGCGGCCAGGCGTCTATTGGTGGGGGCCCCCCCAACTACCCCCTCCCCACCCACCAAAGAATTCAGTTTTGGGGCCGGGTGCGGTGGCTCACGCCTGTAGTCCCAGCACTTTGGGAGGCTGAGGTGGGTGGATCACGAGGTCAGGAGATCAACACCATCCTGGCTAACACGGTGAAACCCCGTCTCTCCTAAAAATACAAAAAAAAAAATAGCCAGGCGTGGCGGCTGGTGCCTGTAGTCCCAGCTACTCGGGAGGCTGAGGCAGGAGAATGGCGTGAACCCCGGAGGCGGAGCTTGCAGTGAGCCGAGATCGTGCCACTGCACTCCAGCCTGGGCGACAGAGCGAGACTCCATCTCAAAAGCAAAACAAAACAAAACAAAAATTTAGTTTTGTTTAGCTTGCAACATAGGTAATTGTACCCTTTCTTATCAGCTAAGTGCAGCCACTAGGGCCATAAATCAAATGTTTGAAGAGTCCTGAGAGAGTTGCAATGCATTGTGGGCTGCAATAAAATGCAGCAGAAAGACCCTAAAGAACATACTTGAAGCCCCTGTCTAACAATCAATAGGCGACATCCGGGAAGATGGTGACCTCATAGTACTCAGTCTATGAGGAACCGGGGAGGGATCTGCGCACTAGGGGATACATTGCTGGTTGAAACTGTGCTGGCTGTGTCTGCGTGCCAGACACCCGCTCTTGCATCACCGCCATTAAAAGTCTCACTTTGACTATTCTCTGGGTCTCTGAGTCCATTCATTGGGTTTGGATGGGTGAGTTTGTTTCTCACAATATCCATATGGAAAAAATGAGCATTTATTCTTACCTCACATCATCACAAAAATTAACTCGAAATAGATCATGGCCTTAATGTGAAACCTAAAACTTTAAATTCATTTCCAAAAGAAAACATAGAATGAAATCTTTGTGAACTTGTAAGCAAAGGTTTCTCAGATGAAACATAAAAACCATAAATCATACAAGAAAATGGGATGAATTGAACAGCACCAAAATGTAACATTGTGAGGCATTTTGGGGACTTATGAAAAATAAAAAACCGAAAATTTTAAAATGTAAAATTGTGCTTTTTGAATAACACCATTAAAGAGAATAAAAAGGCAAACTACATATTTGTCCAAAACATTTGAAACTCACATATCAAGAAACTTGAATTTAGGATATATAAAGAAGTCTTAAAAATTAAGAAGAAAAACATGCCATTTAAAAATAGACAAAAGATTCCAAAAGATCCTCTACAAAAGACAGTATATGAGTGGTTATCAAGCACATGAAAATGTGCTCAAAATCATTAGTCATCAGGGAAATACAAATTAAGACCAAAGTGATGGCTTTACTCACCCATTAGAATAACTAAAATTTAAAAACTGGACCATGTCAAGTGTTGGCAAAGATCCAGAGAAAATGGGATTCTCGTACACTCACGTAAAGTGGCCCAGCTACTTTGGGGAACAGTTTGGCCATCCCAATACTTGTTTCACTTGGCAGAGAATCAGGTTCTACTCACATCCCAGAAAGCAACACTGTCCCCCTGGCACTCACCCTTGGTTTGCTGTTTCTCTCCTTTCTCTCACCATCCGAGTGGTAAGACTGAGAGCCAGAATTAGGGTGTGACCTCGGGGAAATGAGCAGGAGACCTGCCAAGGGGCTGTCGTGTGTCACACGCTGGAGTAGTGCTTAGGGTAGGGTTTCAGGCCCACACCTACCTAGTCATCTAGTGGGAGGGCCGTTCAGAGCAGGGATCCACAGAAATAGTAGGCCTGTGTGTTAAGGCTTTAATTTCTACTCTTATTTTCTTCATCTTTCTTTGGGTTTATTTTGTTAAACTAGGTCTTCATATTTGTATTTTATTTATTTATTTTTTTTTGAGGCAGCATCTCACTCTGTTGCCCAGGCTGGAGTATAGTGGCCCAATCATAGCTCACTGTAACCTTGACTTCCTGGGCTCAAGCGATCCTTCCACCTCAGCTCTCCAAGTAGCTGGGACTGCAGGCATGCACCACTACACCTGGCTAGTTTTTATTACTATTTTTGTTGAGGTGGTGTCTTGCTATGTTCCCCAGGCAGGTCTTGAACTCCTGGCCTCAAGTGATCCTCCTGCCTTGGCCTCCCAAAGGGTCGAGATTACATGTGTGAGCCACCATGCCTGGCAAAACTAGGTCTTCATGTGTGGGAACATGGAAAAATAATCTTACAAACATAGTGATGAGGGACAAAAGCAAATTCCAAAAAGATATGTGTATCAGAATACCTAAAAATATATTAAAAATATAGAACACAATATTTTGCTTAGGGATAATATACAGAGGAAGTGGAAAGACATACATGAGAAAGACACCCATCAATTCAGGTCAGACAACCTCTGAGGGTGGCGTGGGGACGGGAGGGAGGTGGAGTTTTTACTGTACTATTACAACTTATTTCTTGGAAAAACAGAAAGCTCTCTGAAGCAAATATAGCCAAATGATATTTAAAATGATAAATTTAAGTGGTAAATACATGCATACTTGTTTTATTATTTTCTATGTATAGATATATACACTATATAAAATAATTTATATCTTAAAAAGTAAATTGCTTTAAAAAGGATAGTCTCGTACTCTTCCAAATATTAAATATTGTTGTACATTTTCCCCTTCAAATGGCTAACGGAAAAAAATCCAAATACTTACCTAACATAGACTTTGCTTTATCTTCATCAGTCCTTTTGACTATTACATGAGGTTTTGGTATTTGCTCTGAGCCATAGATAATTTGCTGATGCACTTTTTTTCCAGGGGACCAAGCTGACAGAGGCTCCTGGCTTTTCTTCTGCCAGCTGCTCACATGATTATGGTGCAAATATATGAATAACAGAGCTGTCCAGATCCCAAATGTCAAGGACCCATAGAATAAACCTTGAATTATGGCATTTCTCATTGTAAATCTAGCATTTTCAAAGGTCCATTTTTCAATTTCCTAAATCAGAATGATTTAAGAGGAGCAGCATTAGATATTCCAATGGTTTGTAGATCACCTACTTGGCTTAAATTCCATTTTTAGTGTTTTAAAAACAATCACGTTGATGGCCCTTATCATATACATAAAGTGTGTCCTTATTTCTATTAGCACAAATTCCTAAAACTGATATTCCTAAGATTATTTAACATCAAAATGTATAACATGCTTATAAAACATACGGTGTCATTTCAAGTCATTGGCCCATACTCGTGTACATATAGGAAATACCATCAAAGAAGGCTTACTCATCCCTTATCCAGATCCAGTCTACCTTGGAGTGATAGTATGGATCTCTAAAAAATCTGATCTGACTTCAAGCAGCTTGTTAAAAATGTAAAAACACACAATCACATGCTGGAAATAAAGGGAGCAGTGAGTACTGTGGCCCACCACTGATGAATGGCACAATGGCACAATCGTTTTGGCAATATCTAGTCATGTTGAAGATATGTATATGATATGACAAAGCAATTCCATCCTTAGGGATATATCCTAAAGAGACTCATAAGTTGCAGCTCTCATCTAAAGAGATGTATCATGAGACAGGTACAAGAATGTTTATTGAAGTAATGTTTGTCATAGTGAAAACTAGACACTGGCCGGGTGTGGTGGCTCATGCCTGTAATCCCAGTATTTTGGGAGGCCGAGGCAGGTGGATCACCTGAGGTCAGGAGTTCGAGACCAGCTTGGCCAATATGGTGAAATCCTGTCTCTACTAAAAATACAAAAAATTAGCCGGGCATTGTGGCAGGCACCTGTAATCCCAGCTACTCAGGAGGCTGAGGCAGGAAAATCGCTTAAACCTGGGAAGCGGAGGTTGCAGTGAGCCAAGATCGCACCACTGCACTCCAGCCTGGGCAACAAGAATGAAACTCCGTCTCAAACAAAAAAAAAAAAAGAAAGAAAAGAACAAAAGAAAACTAGATGCAACTGAAGTTTCCCTCAACAGGAGAACTAATAAAGTGAGGCTACTCTTTCAATGATGGAAATGAATCAGCTGGAGCTATGTGTACTACTGCTGTAAAGTCTAAAAAACATCATGTGCAAAAAGCAAGTAGGGTGTGATATAAATTTGGAAAACATGAAAAGCAGTGCAATTATTTATGGGTACACCAATATGTAGCAAATGCATGGGAAAAAAACCATGCATGTGAATGATGTACCCAAATTTACATAATAGTGATTATATATATATATAATAGTGAATTTACATAACAGTGATTACCTCCATGGTTGGGGGGAGGAGAATAAAGAACTCCTACTGTATCCCTTTTTTTTGAGACTGGGTCTCACTCCCCTCACCCAGGCTAGAGTGCAGTGGCACAAACATGGCTCACTGCAGCCTTGATTTTCTGGGCTCAAGTGATCTTCCTACCTCAGCTTCCTGAATAGCTGAGACCACAGGCACATGCCACCACGCGTGGCTAATTATTATTATTATTATTTTTTTGTATAGACAAGGTCTCACTATGTTGCCCAGGCTGGCCTTGAACTCCTGGGCTCAAGCAATTCTGCCGCCTTAGCCTCACAAAGTGTTGGGATTACAGGTGTGAGCCACCATGTCCAGCCTCCTACTGTTAACGCTGATTTTTTAATTAAGCTCTGAAGAAAATGTGGCAAAATGATGTGATTTGATTGAGCTTGATAAATGAGAACACAGAGTGCTCATGATATTTTTCTCTATATTTTCCTTCTGTTTGAAATTGTAATTTATTTTAAAAAGAAAGAAGAAAGTCTTGCGAGGTTTCCTTTAAAGATGATAGATTGAATGTGTGTGTGTCTTCTCTCCCTCTTGACTCAACTGAATAAGAATAAAGCTAAAAACTCTCATGGGAAAAGAGAGCGGTAGAGGGAACATCAATGCACATGAGATTTTAACACGTCTGGAGGCGAGAACGTTATTGGACGTGTGGTAACAATTTGGAAAGACAGAGGACTCTGATGTGGAAACAAGGCTGCTAACCCTGGAGCAGCTTGGGGCTTGGATGCCCCTGGTGAGTCAGTGGACACATGGCTTTGGGCTTGGGGAAAGCCACGTGTTAGTATTCAGAATAGTCAGCTCTCTTTGCCCAGCCCTGCACAGCAAAACCCAGGCAGGAGTCAGAGTGGTTTCTTCTTTGGAGAAGTAGACTGGTAGAGGCTGAGCCTCTACAAAGGAAAACTTGGGGCTAAAACCAAGAGTGTCACTTAGAATATGTGGATGTGGAGTGTCTGGGTCCATCTGTCTTCTTCCCTTCCTCCCACACAGGATCCCGGCAGCCAGGTTGCTACGTCTGAGGTGGGATTGATAGAATTGTTCTGGGATGAGAAGACAGGGCCTGGAGAAAAGACCTCCACATGCTGAAATGTAAGAGCTTCCAATAAGGCAGGCGGCTCCCTGGGTCGTCCCCCTGAAGACAGCACACCTGTGGCCAAGGTTGGCCCAACACTCAGCTATTCCAATCAGCTGGTTGGCATCTCACTTTGGGATTGGAATCAGTATTAGTCTGTTTTCACGACACTGATGAAGATACCCGAGGCTGGGTAATTTATACAGGAAAAGGGGTTTAATGGACTTACAGTTCCACGTGGCTGGGGAGGCCTCACAATCAGGCTGGAAGGCAAGGAGGAGCAAGCCACACCATGGATGGCAGCAGGCAAAGAGAGAGTTTGTGCAGGGAAATTCCCCCTGATAGAACCATCAGATCTCGTGAGACTTACTCACTCTCACGAGAACAACATGGGAAAGACCTGCCCCCATGATTCAATGACCTACCCCTGGGTTCCTCACACAGCACGTGGGAATTCAAGATGAGATTTGGGTGGGGACACAACCAAACCATATCAGAATCGAATGCTGCAATGAACGGAACTGTGTCCCCCTGCAACTCACATGTGGAAGCACCAAGCCCCAGTGCGACTGCATTTGGAGACAGAGCTTTTAAAGAGGTAATTATGGTTATATGAGGTCACAGGGTGGGCCCAATTCCAATAGGACCAGTGTCCTTATGGGAAGAGGAAGAGTCCCCAGGCAGGTGCTTGCACAGAGAAAAGACCGGTGAGGGCACAGCGCGAAGGCAACCACCTGCAAGCCCTGAAGACAGGCCTCAGGGAAACCAAACCTGCCGGCAGCTGGATGCCGACTCCAGCCTCCAGAACTGTAGGAAAATCAGAGTTGGCCAAGCCTCCCAGTCTGTTGGACTTGGTTATGGCAGCCGGAGCTGACTCCTACAGCTGCCAAGGATTGCCTGAGACATTTGAGGAAAGACTCCAGAAGGAAAGAAAATGCAAATAGAACCAGAAAGGGGAAGAAAGAAATGAGAACTTTGAAAATATCAAAACATTGATGTTGGTTGCTCAGAGAGATCAAAGAAGGTGCTACAGTCATACAACCAGAGGAACAGGCTATCAAAAAGGAGCATTGAGAGAATAAAAAGGGGAAGCTGCAATTTAAAACACGATTGTTCACATTTAAAAATTAGAATAAATGGCCAGGCGCAGTGGCTCATGCCTGTAATCCCAGCACTTCCAGAGGCCGAGGTGGGCGGATCACTTGAGGTGAGGAGTTGGAGACCAGCCTGGCCAACATGGTGAGACCCCATCTCTACTAAAAATACAAAGATTAGCTGGGCATGATTGCCCACGTCTATAATCCCAGCTACTCTGGAGGCTGAGGCACGAGAATGGCTTGAACCCGGGAGGCCGAGATTGCAGTGAGCCTAGATTGTGCCACTGCACTTCAGCCTGGGCAACACAGTGAGACTCCGTCTCAAAATAAATACATAATAAAAATCATTAGAAAAATGGTGGGAAAGGAATATTTTGAAATGCACAAGAAAATGGCAGAGGGAAGCCTAAGAGAAAGTTGAGACCTGTGGTGTTTCATTCTAGAAGGCAGAAAGAACATCTACCCAGTAATGAGTTCCACAAAGTGATGAGAGAAAAATGGAGAGGAAATTGTCAACGCAATCATACAAACATTTGCAGAACTAAAGGGGCCCACAGAATGCCCCATATAATGAATGAGACTAGAAAGAGTGTCAAAATGACATCAAACTTCTCAACAGCAACACTGGATTGTGAAACTATAAAACAGCTTGAAATTTTATGCATCAATTCTTGATCTAGTCAAAATTTAATCAAGCTTGGGAGTGGAATAAAAATATTTTCAGCTATGTAAAGGGCTCACAAAAATTACTCTCCATGTATTCTTTTTTTTGGGAAACTACCTGTGGATTGCAAATGGCAATAAAGGAAAAAGCAAATAAAGAAGACATGGGCCGGGCATGGTGGCTCACTCCTGGAATCCCAGCACTTTGGGAGGCCGAGGTGGGTGGATCACTTGAGGTCAGGAGTTCGAGACCAGACTGGCCAACATGGTGAAAGCTTGTCTCTACTAAAAATAGAAAAATTAGCTGGGCATGGTGGTGGGCTCCTGTAATCCCAGCTACTTGGGAGGCTGGAGGAAGAGAATTGTGTGAACCCGGGAGGTGGAGGTTGCAGTGAGCTGAGATCATGCCACTGCACTCCAGTCTGGGAGACAGAGCAAGACTCTGTCTATTAAACAAACAAACAAACAAAACCCAGACATGGACCCAGGACATTGAATGCAACCCCGTTGAGAGGAAGAGTATGTGGGATGGAGAAGTTTAGGTGGATGACACAGCTGATGGTAAAAATTAAGGAACAGTATTTACAGAGTGATAAGATGCAAACACTGATTACTGCATTAACCAAAAAAAAAAAAAAAGAAAAAAAAATCACACAGACTTTTTTAAGGAAAAATAAACTAGAAGAAATGGAGGTCATGTAATAAAAATGAAGTTGATGTATAAAATTAATTAAAAAAATAGAAGTCTAAGAACTCCGTTTAAAATATGAAGGTGGGCTGGGCTCTGTGGCTCAGGTCTGTAATCCCAGCACTTTGGGAAGCTGAGGTGGGTGGATCACGAGGTCAGGAGTTCAAGACCAGCCTGACCAACATGGTAAAACCCTGTCTCTACTGAAAATACAAAAATTAGCTGTGTGTGGTGGCATGCGCCTGTTATCTCAGCTACTCAGGAGGCTGAGGCAGGAGAATCGCTTCAACCCGGGAGTTGGAGGTTGCAGTGAGCCGAGATCACACCACTGCACTCCAGCCTGGGCAACAGAGCGAGAGACTCCATTAAAAAAAAAAAAAAAAGAAGGTAACTATCATAAGAAACAGATTGAAGAGTCAAAAGTGATTGTAAGAGGGAGTTGAACTGGGGGCTGGGCAGGAACTGGGCAGGGACCTGCTGATTTTCTTTATAAGATTTTGTTTTTATTTTATTTTTTATATGTATGCATTACACTGAAAAATATTTTTAAAATAAAGATTTTCTAAACAGATTAGAAATGCAAACCATATCAAACAGCATGGATACTGGTAAACACAAGAATACATCAGCCACTTGTCCCCTGGACCCTGCCCCTTTCCATCACATGTCATCCCTGCACCTGGAAAAGGTAATCCCTGAAATGAGCCTTAGGCCCTGCAGGTAAATCCAAGCTCTAGGACCGTCAGCGTCTGTCCTCCTTCGACCCACACTCTGATTTGCTCAAGTATCCTCTTGGCCTTTGAATATTTACTATTGTCTCCCATTTTTGTCCTCTCTCTAACTTGAGAACAGAATTTGGCTTCTACAGTTTTGTTTTGAGAAAGGGTCTAGCTCTGTCACCCAGGCCGGAGTGCAGTGGTGCAATCTTGGCTCACTACAGCCTTGACCTACCTCCCTGGCTCAAGTGATCCTCCCACCTCAGGCTCCCAGGTAGTTGGGACTACGGGTGCCCACCACCACACCCGGCTAGTTTTTGTATTTTTTTTTTTGTAGAGTTGGCGTTTTGCCATGTTACCCAGGCTGGTTTCGAACTCCTGAGCTCAAGCAATCTGCCTGCCTTGGCCTCCCAAGGGATTAATCCCAAAGTGCTGGGATTACAGGTGTGAGCCACTGTGCACAGCTTTGTTTTGTTTGTGAGTTGGTGTCTCACTCTGTCACCCAGGCTGGAGTGCAGTTGGCATGATCATAGCTCACTGCAGCCTCGAACTCCTGGCTTCAAGTGATCCTCCGTCTTTGGCCTCCCAAAGTGCTGGAGCTATAGGCACACGCCCCCATGCTTGGCTTTGACTTCTACGGTTTTGACCTTAGGCATGTCCCAGGAACTGGCTTGCATATACATTGTAGCTTCAGTAGGAAACCCACGCTGCTTGACAGAACTTGGTATCCAGAGCAATTCCATGGCATCAAAGCACCAGAATAGGACATTGTCCCCTCAAAGAGACTTGAACTCACCTGGACAAGATGTCTTCTACATGGGATGCTGTGCTGCGCTACCGAGACACCGCCTTCAGGGCAGAGACACCCATTCTCCCAGCTGCCATGAGAAGTAGCTGCCACAGGCTCACAGCTCATGACCGAGGCAAGCCGCTTTGCCCAAGTGTCCCCCTCTCTGGGGATCTCGCATTCAAAGACTGGTCAATGGGTGCAGCTCCCTTGTCTATCTGGGGGGACTCTGGAGAGCGCAAGCTGCCTGTGGGGTGGGTGGAGTCTCTTCTGGAAGCTGCACTGCCATCTAGGCTCTTCCTCTGATTGAACCTACTTGTGTCCCTGCCTTGCAGTGTTTGTCCCCAGATCTGCTCCGAATAAAGTTTTCCATGCAAATCTTAGTCGAATAGTCTTCTTCCTGGGGAACTTGACCTAGTATGATGGTTGCTAATGGTCCAGGAAAATGGGCTGTAAAGGGGATTTTAGGGCTAAGCCACCCTCCAGGCGGCTGGCCCTGAGCATCCCATTGCTGGTGGAAAGGTGGTGTTCTGAAAGCCCCTGGCATACTGTGGCTGATATGTGCTTGTTAAAATCTCACTGGCTGTGAATCAGGATGGAATATAGGTGGAAAGGAATTTTCTGGTTGGTGCGCTTGACTGAGGAACAGGGAGGAGTAATTATAAATATTGCAAGGTAGATGGCTATTGCCGGATGCCATGGTTGCATCTGAAAAAGGCAAGGAAGGCTGAGGGTGGTAATCACCAATTTAAAGCAAATTAACAGAGTCAGAGGCCCTTGTTAGCATATGAAGGATCTCATTTCCTACAACCGAAGGGCGGGGAGAGCTGAGGATCATGCCCAGGGCCTGATTATCTGGGCAGCAGAACTCCAGGGAAGGTTGAATTCTCAAGCCTGGCTGGTCTTCTATCCAGGGAAGGAGGAAGGCTCTGACACGTGGGATGGGGATGTCTGGGTAGAGACACGCCAGAGACCTGGAAGGCCCAGGTCCACAGGAACCCTCTGAGCCTACAGAAATGGCCCACTGCTCCCCAACAAGGCTAGCTCTCCTCCTCTGCTTTGCAAGGCAACACGTGCCCTGCCTCAGGACCTTCCCCCCAGTACCCTCCTGGCCACCAGATCAATAAGTAGGGTCACATTACAACTTAGCCTGTGTGGGAAACTGCTACCCTGCTAAGGGAAGAAGGAGAGTGTTCCCAAAGGAGCTGCAGAATCAGCCATCTTGAACCAGCAGGCACGCAGGGTGTATATATGGGACTGAGTCCAGAGGATACAGATTAAGGGAGGGGGAATGTAAATTTTGATTTGGGAGCATTTATTACAACAGGAATATCCCCCAGGACACAGGCTTTAACACTCTGGCCAAGATCCTGGGTGCAAAATAGAGATTCATTGATTGAATAAATAGCACTTTACAAATGAAATATTTGATTATGCCAATTAAAAGTATCAAATATATAAAGAGAAGAAGGCAACTTCTAACTAGGGAAAATGGCGAATTAGGACGCCTGAAAAGAGAATAAAGCTGTTTTAATTTACATTACCACCATATCTCCCTATTAAATATCTAAATTTTAAAGTTATCTAAAGTTAACTTCCATGTCAACTTTCTCCAAAAACCAAAAGCAATTAGAAACTAGTTAAAAAAAAAAGGTAAGGGGAGACAACCAAATGTAATATACAAAATAAACACATGCACTAATATGATAGTGATAGCAACAGGAGACAGACAAATTCCTAGGCAGAGAGGGGCAGGTCCCCAGTGAAATCCAACCTTCAAGCCAAAGACAGCTTAAAGCCTGAAAACTGAGTTGCCAGAGTCCACGACCGGAGTGAGAACTTCCTCAATGCCTTGTAGCCAATCAAATGGTGTTATTTCCAGGCCCACCTGGAAGGACTGGTGCTCTTTCCAGCATGTACTTCCCCATTCTGAGCCCATGAAAACCCCAGACTCAGCCCCATGTTGGGACTATCCATCTTTGAGCCCCCTCTCACACAGAGGGCTACCCACTTTGGATCCCCTCTTGTGTCAAGAGCTGTTCTGTTGCTCAATAAAACCCTTCTCTGCCTTGCTGACTCTCCAGTGTCTGTGTAACCTCATTCTTCTTGGACGCAGGACAAGGACCTGGGACCCACCGAATGATGGGTGCAAAAGGAGCTGTAACACTGTAACCTTCCCACCTTCTGCCAGTGCCAGATGGCCACCCCACATCATGGGAAGTGGTGGTAGGGCTGGGCCAGCCTAGGAGCACCAGTGGGCTGGAGCAGGATGGTGGGACAGAATGAGCTGTAGCACAAATGAGCTGCAACACACCCCTTGCACTGTTTGCCGCAACCAAACAAGCCATAACACACCCCCCTCCCCAACCCCGTTTCACTATGCTGCAGGTGGCAGGAAGGAGACAGAGAGCTGTAACAGTCCTTGGGGGCTCAGACCTTGGGACTCCCCAGGTGAGAGCTGTAACACCCCTTGGGGCTCTGTGGCGGTTGGCATCTCTGAGTTTTCAGGCACCACCATGTTCCCCCTCATCCAGATGCTGGTGCCCAAGGTGGAAGATGGTTGTGGCACACTCAGACCAGCCATGGGCTAAGCACAGAGTGGTGTGTGTGTGCAGAATCTAGGTCGGTAGTGCCAGCCGAGTGCAGCCTGCTGCGTCCAGTGGGGAGAGCAAGCCCAGAGGTGAGCCTAGAGCCAAGTGAGGCCCAAGGACGGGTGCTGCCAGCCGGGAAATGTCCAGCTGGCAAAGTGACATTGAAAGAATCCTGTCTCAATAGGATTATTACTGAAAAATAAATTATTCTCTAGAAAGATTCTAATACATCAGGAAAACTTGGGGGGAATTCTCTTTAGACGTGAACACTTATGAACATATCCCCAACCTCCTTAATTTTCTTATTTTACTAATATGAGTTCTTATATTATGTTTTCTCTGTGACAAGCACCTCACCTCCCAACCCACCCCCTATACTCCCACAAAACACAGAAAACCCCTCCTATCAAGAGATCGATGTAAGAGGTGTGTGATTGGCCTTTGGACTTTGTGTCTTCAGAAGAAAACCATGTTCAGTTATTTTCTTCACTAAAAGATGCAGAATTCAATGCTAGAAAAGCACAGAATTTGTAAAATATATTTCAACGAGGATTCATATGTACAGCAAATAAAATTTTAAGTGCATTAAAGAGACTTAGCAGATGATCAAAAGAATCCTGTAGAGAAAAGAATGCAGCTAATAGTCACCAACATGCCCCCACCAACACGCCAAAACCCTAGCCTAAATCTGCATTTACAGTCATTGAGTTTCTTTCTTTTTTTTTTTCTTTTCTTTTTTTTTTTTGAGACAGGGTCTCGCTCTGCTGCCCAGGTTGGGGTGCAGTGGCCCAATTACAGCTCACTGCAGCCTTGACTTCCCAGGCTCAAATGATCCTCCTCTTTCAGCCTCCCAAGTAGCTGGTACTACAGGCTGGTGAGTGCCACCACGCCTGTTTTTTTTTTTTTTTTTTAAATAGAGATGAGGTCTTGCTATGTTGCCCAGGCTGGTCTCAAACTCCTGAGCTCAAGTGATCCTTCTGCCTTGGCCCCCAAAAGTGCTGGGATTACAGGCATGAGCTACCATGCCTGGCCAAGTTTTTAAAAAAATACGAGTCTATTGAATCAGGAAAACATGACCATGCTTTAGATAATATCACAACTAATTCTTCTGTCAATAATCAACACTTTTTTTCCTTTTTTTTTTTTTTTTTCTCGAGACAGAGTCTCACTCTTTCATCCAAGCTGATCTTGAACTCCTGGACTCACATGGTCCTGCCACCTTAGCCTCCCAGGAGCTGGAATTACAGATGCCAGCTGCCGTGCCCAGTTTATAATCAGCATTTTTAACCCCTAGCTTTCCTAGGACCATCTTAATACTGATCTCCATATAAGATCTAGGACTTTATGACACTGCTAAGGGCCTTTATTTCCCTATTTTTTTCAAATAAGTAATACAGTCACTGTATAAACATTACC
Organism: Homo sapiens; assembly: GCF_000001405.40. Classification (NCBI taxonomy): domain Eukaryota; kingdom Metazoa; phylum Chordata; class Mammalia; order Primates; family Hominidae; genus Homo; species Homo sapiens. The sequence goes on along the minus strand of NC_000007.14, from coordinate 151,956,877 downwards.
AGCATAAAGACACATGTAATGAAAAGTTTCCCTATTTTTCATGAACTAAAGCCATTACAATGCCCAGTCCACGTTTAGGGTGGTGTAACCAGCTAGGAGGCTACTCCTTCTTTAAAAAATAAAATAAATCTTCTTAAACCTAATCCCCAGAGCTAGCACCTCCTTCAAGACGCAGTGATTTGATGTACTGCTTCCGCTGATTCAAAGTGAAAGACGTTTCCCCCCATCTTTGTTCCCACTTCTAGCACATGGGGCTCACTTCACCTACCCTTGAGATAATTGCATTGGCTGCTTTGTAACTGATGAATTTTCCAAGCAGAGTCACAGCTGAATGAGGCAGGGGTCTGTGCCGAATGAACTGAGAGATGTAAAATTTTTTTTAGCTAGCAGGCTTTATGGTGGCTGGGTTCCAAGCAGATACCTGGTTGTGCTGGGTTGCGGGGCCACACAGTAGTACTCAAAGGGCAGTACAGTCCCCCTCACAAAGCCTGATGACATCACACAGGGCGTCACAGCCCCACAGGGGCCCCTGCCTGTAAGCTCCAACCAGCAGGTGGAATCCAGGAGTTCCAAGGTCCTAAGGGTCCTTACCCCTCAGCTGAGAAAATAGGGAAAGCCTCATATTAGGTGAGGCTAGAATCCAGGGTGACTCTCTTCTCTAGGCAAGGCCTAATTTTTAGCTTTTTATATTTATTTATTTATTTATTTATTTATTTATTTATTTATTTATTTATTTATTTTTGAGATGGAGTCTCGCTCTGTCCCCCAGGATGGAGTGCAGTGGTGCAATCTCTGCAATCTCTGCGATCTCCGCTCACTGCAAGCTCCGCCTCCCGGGTTCACGCCATTCTCCTGTCTCAGCCTCCGGAGTAGCTGGGACTACAGGCGCCCACCACCACGCCCGGCTAATTTTTTGTATTTTTAATAGAGATGGGGTTTCACCGTGTTAGCCAGGATGGTCTCCATCTCCGGACCTCGTGATCGGCCCGACTCGGCCTCCCAAAGTGCTGGGATTACAGGCGTGAGCCACCGCGCCCGGCTAATTTTTAGCATTTTTGAAATAAACTTAAGAAAAAGAACAAGCTTTCAGAAAACATGAAGAAACTTAAAGATGAGCCAAAGGGTTATTTGATTGCCTTTTAATTCTTTACTCTACGTTACTCAACATTTAGATGTCAGTACACAAGTTCAGCCAAATGCTTGTGAAATTTCTTCTGAACGCATCCCAGGAGACTTGACCCTCCCCGCTTCAGGATGCTGACTCTGTTTTGCCTGAAACCAGACAAGCTCTGCTTCAGGGTCTGTGAGTGGAAGGGGGTGGGTGGGAACCTCTCGCAACCTCTCCTGGGACAGACACAATGGGCAATCGTGACCTCCTGGGGTAGATACTGAAACTGTGACAAGTGATAACAAAACTGGCAGAAATCAGTTGGACCCAATATGGCCAACTGGAGTTTCTGCAGAAAGAGCTTGCTGATATCACAGCCTGAATTTCCACGCATGTTTCGTATTAACTGCCCCGGAATTTGATTTGCACACAGCACCCATGAGGAAGCATGAAGAGATAACTGCGCATGTCTGAGGACTTGCCAGACCTCCTCTTTCCTTCCACCGATCTCCTGCTAATCCCGGAACCCACCCTCTAACCCTTTTCTAATAAAATTATTTCCTTAAAGGCAGCACAGCGAGACAGATTTGAGCTGGACTCCTGTCTCCGTGTTGGTCAATTTGCAATGAAAAGCTTTTCTTTTCTCTGAAACCCAGTGTCTTAGTATTTATTGGCTTCTAGCGCACGGGTCAGTGACCTCTTTTGCTCGGTAACAACATAATGGGCTATAATGACCTCCTGGGGCAGACGGACGGGCATTAATGACGTCCAAGCCAAACTCATGAGTCTCCTTTCTGCAGGCTCGATGGGAAGGTCCTTCTTGCCCATTAATAATATAAAAGTAAGCTTTTATTCATATTAGCCTCAAACTGGAAAAAACCCAAATGTCCATCTGTAGTAGAATGGACCCACTGTGGCATATTCATATAATGCAATGCAAACCAGCAGTGAAAAAGACCAGACTGCAGCTGCATACAACATGGATGCATCTCGCAGACATGGCGTGAGACCGAAGCAGCTCATGGGAGAGCGCGATTCTATTTCTGTGAAGTTTCTGCAGAACGAGGGCTTGCTGAGGTCACAACCCAAATTCCTACAGCATGTGGAAGGGAGCAAGAAAAGGCAAAGCTACTCTAAAGTGATAGAACAGTTTATCTATCTATCAGTAACAAGTAGCTGTGTTTGGGAGCCAGAACAGGATTGCTGGTTACTGAGAGGGAGCAAGAGAGAGCCTTTTGGAGTGCTGGAATGTTCTGGGTCTTCTTGATCTGGGGGAGTGAAGGCTTCACGGAGCCTACTTGTACAAACGTGCATTGGGCTGGTCACTGAAAGTGTATATACTTCACTGTATGTATGTCGTATCCTCAAAACACGAGGGAAAAAAAGTGAGTCAACACAACTTTTGGACAAAGATTTTATTGTGGGAGTTTTGCAACCATTACACAGTTTGCTTGGTGTAATAAAGTAAAATCTTTCTTTCTGAGAAAGGTGCACATATACCGTATTCAAGGACAATAGTTCAAATTGTGTTTATTTATTTATATTTTTATTTATATATTTGAGACAGAGTCTTGCTCTGTTGCCCAGGCTGGATCACACCACTGCTGGTGTGATCATGGCTCACTGCAGCCTTGACCTCTCAGGCTGAAGCAATCTTCCTGCCTCAACCTCTTAAGTGGCTGGGACTGCAGGAATGTGCCACCACACCCAGCTAATTTTTTTATTTTATATTAGTTTTCGTAAAGGCAAGACCTCGCTATGTTGCTCAGGCTGGTCTCGAATTCCTGGGCTCAAGCTATCCTCCCACCTTGGCCTCCCAAAGTGCTGCAATTACAGGCATGATCTACTGTGCCCGAACTTTTTTTGAGACAGAGTCTCACTCTGTCGCCCAGGCTGGAGTGCAGGGGCAAGATCTCAGTTCACTGCAAGCTCCGCCTCCCGGGTTCTTGCCATTCTCCTGCCTCAGCCTCTCAGGTAGCTGGGACTACAGGTGCACGCCACTGCGCTCAGCTAATTTTTGCATATTTAGTAGAGATGGGGTTTCGCCATGTTGGCCAGGCTGGTCTCGAACTCCTGACCTCGTGATCCACTCCCCTCAGCCTCAGTGCTGAGATTACAGGCATGAGCCACCTCACCCGGCCTGGAACTTTATTTTTTAATTGAGATATTACATCTCGTACAATTCACCTTTCATCCATTTTGTGGCATTTGTCAGTATTTCATTCCTTTTTATGCCTGAATAATGAGCTGTTGTTTGAAAATACCCCATTTTATTTATCTATTCATCAACTGGTGAATATTTAGCTGGTTTCCACTTTGGGGGTGTTATAAATAGTACTGCTATGAATATTCCTGTACACATTTCTGTGTGGACATAAGTTTTCAGTTCTCTTGAGTATACACATAGGAGTAGAGTTGCATGTGGTAACTCCAGGTTTAATTTTTTGAGTAATTGCCAGACTGTTTTATAAAGCAGCTACACCATAGAATTTTTATTTCCAAGATTTTTCCCAAGGGAAAGGAAAACGAGTCATGAACAGCCCTTCCTTAGGGCTTGCCCTACCGATTTCAGACTTGCCTTGCCAGCCCCTACCGTTGTGCACCAGCCAACTCCTGGCAATACATTTCTTCATGTGTTTCTCTTACTGGTTCTGTTTCTCAGGCTAACAAGCCCATACTCCTGTGTAACTGAACCCTTTTAAAAATTACAGAACCTAGAAAGTTCCTACACGGTCCTTCTCTGCTGTCAGTGCCCATTACCATCTGGCCCCAGAAGCAAGCACTATTCTGATTTTATTTACCATATATTAGTTTTGCCTGCTATAGAATTTCATGTAACTGAAAGGATATGATAAGTGGTAGGAAACCTTGTGTAAGGTTTCTTTCATTCAGCATAATATTTTTGAGACTTATTGTTTCATGTATCAGTAGTTTACTTTTTATTGGTGAGTAGATTTTTATCATTAAAATCATACCATACCATTTGTTTTTTCATTATTTTGGTCATGAATACCTGGGTAGTTTAGTTTGCTCAGGCTGCCATAACAAAGTACTAAAGGCTTGGTGGTTTAACAACCAAAATTAATTTTTTTTTTTTTTTTTTTTTTTTGTAGACAGAGTCTCTCGTTCTGTCACCCAGACTGGAGTGCAGAGGCGCGATCTCAGCTCACTGCAACCTCTGCCTTCTGGGTTCAAGCAATTCTTCTCCTTCAGCCTCCCGAGTAGCTGGGATTATAGACATGGGCAATCTTTGTATTTTTAGTAGAGATGGGGTTTCACCATGTTGGCCACCATGCCAGGCTGGTCTTGAACTCCTGACCTTATAATCTGCCCACCTTGGCCTCCTAAAGTGCTGGGATTACAGGCGTGAGTCATTGAACCTGGCCTGAAATTAATTTCTCATAGCTCTGGAGGCTACAAGTCCAAGATTAAGCTGCCAGTGGGGTTGGATTCCTCTGAGGACTCTCTCCTTGGCTTGCAGTTGGCCACCTTCTTGCTTTGTCCTCACATGCTCTTTCTTAGGTGTGCACACACCCGTGGGGTTCTCTCTCTGGGTGTTGTAATGTCCTCTTCTTAAAAGGGCACCAATCCGATTGTATTAAGGCTCACTCTAACAACCTCATTTTAACTTAACTGCCTCTTTAAAGGCCTTATCTTTAAACACAGTCAGTACCATTCTAAGGTACTAGGGGTCAGGATTTCAACATATGAATTTGAGGGGGATGCAATTCAGTTGATAGCACCACACTGTTTCCAGTTTGGAGCCTTTACGAATAAAGCTATTCTGAAATTCTCGTTCATGTTTTTATGGACTGACGCTTTCGGTTCTCTTGAGTAAACACCCAGGAGTGTTTAGTCTTTTAAGAAGTGGTCAGACCTTCTACTAAAGTGCTAGTGCCACGTGTGCTCCCATTTGGCGTTGTCACTCTTTTTAATTTTAGCTATAGACAGGCTGGCTATCCAGCAGCAATAGTGACTGAATCGGCCTTGGTGAGAGGGAGACCACGTTGTCGGGTTCATGAATGGTCTCTTCTTGTATAATCTGTTGCAGGAGCATTGCACCAGCACTGGTGACCAAGGAGAGGCTCAGGTGGACATTCTCTGATGAGCATTAACTCGAGGCACTATGGTGTGCTCAGTTTGTGCCACCAGCATGGGTCCATCCTCAGACTTCTTTGCCTCTGGTCTTTCCATCATCCTCTTTCCAATCTCCGGACTGAAAAGGGATAAGTAAGCTCCTTTCTTAGGCTTTCGTTGCCTCTGGTCTTTCCATTGTACTCTTTCCAATCCCAGGACATTTCCTACTGACCAAGGCTCCAGGTATCCTTGTACCTCAGGCCAACTCACCCTCTCAGGTGTATAACATTTCCCATCATTTGGTGGATTGTTGCTCTGCCCACCTGACCTTATCCCTCAGTGACTCTGATAAAACCCACCTTGTAATGGGCAGCTGTAGTCACACAGCCATTTGGTATCTAATGATCAGAAGCTCAGTGTCTATCAGGGTTCAAGCCAGGAGCTGTTTTTAGAGAGGCATATCCATGCTCTCAAACTCTAATAAGTCTGCAGAATAGCTCTCCTATGGGGCTTGCCAGAAACCACCTGCCACCCTGCAACAGTGTCCTCATTCATCACAGGTCCCTCTGGCACCATCCCATTTGCTGGGTCATGCAGCTGGAGTGGGAGGGCAACCTGTAGCCTGGATCTGTTGCAGAGCTTTCTCCTCTGAGCCTACCTGAAATTGGCAGCTTTTCAAGTTACTCCCAGAATGGGTTGGATCTGTACTCCTATGTGAAGTCTGTGCCACCTATAAAATCCAAAGAGGTTCACTCTATGCTGTGCCTTTTTCTTGGTAGGAGCCGCAAAGGGCAACAACTTGTCCTTTATCTTAGAATCGCTGTCTTGGCATGCCACAGACTACAGGACTTCTAAAAGCTTCAGTGTTGAAGCTCCTGAATCTTCATAGGGTGTATCTCCCATCTGGTGCACATGTGTCTTCCTGAGTGTCTTCCTACGGCACCAGGTCTAACTGATATGACAACATCAATATGGCGGAACAGCATGATGTGTGTGGAAGGTCTGGATGAGCACTGTACCTGCAGATCACATGTGACAGAGAGAAGAAGGTTACACAGCCTGGGGAAGTCTAGTGGATTGTGCCATCCCGACCACGTAAGGGCAGACTGTTTTATTGATGGGGATAAAGAAGAATGAATTTTCCAGAATAAGTGCTCCATACCAAGTGCCAAAGCCCACTGAAGACAGCACATCTACTACTGGGGCTACCACTTGATTAAGTTTAAGACAGTTACTGTCATTTGCTACGGTCCAGTTGATTTTGATAGGGGCCCTACAGGGATGGTGAATGGGGATATGACGGGACCACTACTCCTGCATCTTTTAAGTCTTTGATGGTGTTGATCTCTGCAACTGTTCCTGGAATGTGGTGGTTTTTGCTTCTGATTTACTGTCTTGGAAGGGTGTGCAAGGAGTGGGGATGGGAAGTTTCAGGGGCTTCCTCTTGGCTGACTCTTCTGTAATGATCCTTCTTACACAGGTGAGGGAACCAATTTAAAGATTCTACCAATCGCTAGGTATGTCTATCCAAATTATACACTTAGGGACCAGAGAAATAACTGCAGAGAAGATCCGTGGGCCCATCAACTCACTGTCATTCAAACTTAGGTAAAACGCCATTTATCACCTGGCCACTTCAAGTCCCCACTCTAATAGGGGCTTGTGATGCTGTTTCAGATCCTCTGAAATCAGGACTAGACATCACATCTAACAGTTCCTGGTGGACCCACGACTAACCATTTTTTCCCTTTTTATCCCCCCAGAACAGAAGAACTTGATATATCTAACCTCTTTTTTTTTTTCTTTTTGAGATGGATTTCATTCTTGTTGCCCAGGCTGGAGTGCAATGGCGTGATCTTGGCTCACCATAACCTCTGCCTCCCAGGTTCAAGTGATTCTCCTGCCTCAGCCTCCCCAGTAGCTGGGATTACTGGCGTCTGCCACCATGCCCAGCTATTTTTTTGTACTTTTACTAGAGACAGGGTTTCACCATGTTGGCCAGCCTGGTCTTGAACTCCTGACCTCAGGTGATCCACCCGCCTTGGCCTCCCAAAGTGCTGGGATTACAGGAATGAGCCACCAGGCCCGGCGCCTAACCATTTTTGAAAAGTCAGGGTATTCCCTTTTTTTCCAAGGCACAGTCAAACTGACAAATGGCTGAAGGCTCTTTTGGGGAAGGGCTGGGCACTATGTACTGTATGTACTGTGTGGCCGTGTCTCTCGTGCTGTGGATATCACACCAGATGGCAAGTCAGGACTCCTGTGCTGCTCCATTTCTGGCCTCGGTTGCCTCACTTGTCAAAGGAGGATGTTTTCAGACATACTCTTTGGGTCCCTCGGGATTGGCCTGGGTGCTTCTGGGTCCTGGGAGTGGGGTGGGTCGTACTCCTCTTTCAGCCGGAACATCTCTGCCTTTATCTGTTTTACATATGGGGCTTCCACTTAAGATTTCATATGAGGAAAAATTTCTCAGCTAAAAAGCCATCTGCAGAGCCGGGGAACTACATGATCTCATTCAGCCTTAATAACGTGAGCAAATGTAACCCCTTCTGGGCCTGAGCTTCTGATCTCTAAGAAGGGATAATAGTATTGACTTCCCAGGTGCTTGTACAGATGGAGAGTTTAGAGAAGTCTTCAGGCATGCTGTAACTCTTAGAAAACCTGCAAGAGAGGAGCTGGTGAACAATCTGGAGGGGGCTGTGTAAGAAAATTGAACCACTGTCTTTTCAGGGAGACCCTAGGACAGGCCTGTCACACTGTGTACCTGCTATTATGTGGAGCTGTTATAATTTAAATGTGCTGCCAGTTAACTGCAAAACCAGTAACAACTGATGGTCTGTCCTCCCTATCAGCCTGTGAGCTCTTGGAGGGAAGGGACTGTGGTGTTCATCATTGTATTTTTTGAAATTCTGACCCAGAGCCGGGAATCCTGAACTGAATCATGAAAACAGCAGTGTGATTGGAAGTTGCAGACATCCACTCCCACACCTGCAGAGAAAGGGTGCCAAAGAACCCACGGTACCGGGTTGCCCCTTTCCTTGCACGGGAGCAGGACAGGTGGCCACCCCTTTTGAGGAATGGCCAGGGTGAATTAGCTGTGTGGCCTTCTCTCAGCATTCCCTACAGAGCCAATTTCAGCGGGCCTTTCAGATAATTATCATAAAGAGAACTTTGAGGATACTATCAAGATAGTTAGCAAGTAAAAGTACTGTAGGAGATTCCACACACACACTCACACACACTCATACATATACACACATACACACATACACATTCACACACACTCATACACACATACATACACACACATTCGCTCACACACTCATACACACATACACATACATACACACACATTTGGACACACACTCGTACACACACATACACATACACACATTCACATACACATATACTCGTACACTCATTCACACACACTCATACACATATACACACATACATTCACACACACATACACATACAAACTCATACTCACACATTCACACACACATACATACACACATTACACGCATACACATACACACATATTCACATACACATACACACATTCACACACACCCACCCTCATACACATATACACACATACATGCATACAATACACATACACTCACACACACTCACACACTTGCAATCACACACATACACACTCACACACACATACACTCACACACTTACACACATTCACTCTCACACACAGTCACACACACACTCACAGAGAGAGAGAAGGGAGAGAGGAGAAGCCCATAGCGTTTTTCCTGCCGATACTGGTTGCATTTCATTCTTCTAGGTATCATCTTGTTATGGGCTGAACCGTTTCCCCCACAGAACTCATATGTTGAAGTCCTAACTCCCAGTACCTCAGAATGTGACTGTGTTTGGAAACAGGGTCTTGAAAGAGACAATTAAAATGAGACCAAATGAGTGGGCCCTGACCCAACATGACTGGTGTCCTTAGAAGAAGAGATCAGGACACAGACACACACAGAGGGACGACCCTGTGAGGACACAGGGAGAAGATGGCATCTACAAGCCATGGAGACAGGCATCAGAAGAAGCTGAACCCGCGGAGGCCTTGATCTTGGAGCTGCGGCCTCCAGAGCTGTGAGAGGATAAGTTTCTGCTGTTTAAGCCCCAGTCTGAGGTCTTTATTATGGCAGCCTGAGCTGCCCGATGCACATCTCTGTTGCAGAAACATGTCTTCTCACATGCAGCTGCTCAACAGAGCTGCATTCAAGAATAATACTTTAGTAGAATACAAGGAACAACATGATGGGATGGGGAGGACCAGGGTTGTGGAAGAGAACGCTGGCTGTTCCTCCTACTCGATTCTCCTCTTCTCTCCTCCAAGCTGGGCATATGCTCCCCCTGTTTCAGCTGGTGGTGACCATGACTACCATCTCTTCCATAGCAGGTGAGCAAAAGTGACCTGCACCACTGCCAGGCCTGACCCAAAAGCCTCCCCAGAGGTTCCTTCTATGTTCTTCCTGGGGTGATGACAATCAACACAACATTGGAAACCACGTGTTCAAGATGGCAGAGCCACCATCAGCCTGGTTCCTGAATGACCACGTGGAGCAACATGGAATATCCAAGTGAGCAAGAAATAGAGTCTTATCTTCTTGCTTCATTATATTTCGGATATTCTTGAAAAGGGGTTCAGCCTACCCCAAATACAAGAGACATGAAAGAAAAGGATAAAGATGAAAAATAAGTGAATGGTGTCAAGTGAAATAAACAATGTAACACTGAGAACAAGCTAGATATTCAGTATTTTTCTGTGATATAAAGGACGTATGAGATGTGGATGCTGCCCAGGTATTGCTAAAGGGTTACTGGGAAGCTAGAATAACCACATGAAGGAATTAGGGGAAGATACAAGATTAAAAGTGTTGAATTACATGGTACAGACTTGAGCTGCTACAGCCTGGTGTCAAGGAAAGAACACTGGACCAATGTCAGGGGATGTAGTTGCCAGAATCAATTCATAAGGGGAAAGGATAATGTTTAAAAAAGGCATAGCCCCGGAGTGTGATGTTCCCCTTCCTGTGTCCAAGTGTTCTCATTGTTCAATTCCCACCTATGAGTGAGAACATGCGGTGTTTGGTTTTTTGTCCTTGCGATAGTTTGCTGATAATGATGGTTTCCAGCTTCATCCATGTCCCTACCTGTTGTGGGGTTGGGGGAAGGGGGAGGGATAGCATTAGGAGATATACCTAATGTAAATGACGAGTTAATGGGTGCAGCACACCAACATGGCACATGTATACATATGTAACAAACCTGTATGTTGTGCACATGTACCCTAAAACTTAAAGTATAATAATAATAATAAATAAAATAAAATATAAACGTAAAAAAATAAAAATAAAAAAAGGCATAGCATAAAGTCATGACACAAAGCAGGTAGCTGGCAGGAGCTTAAGGGAGGAAGTTGGGAAGAGAAAGATAAAAGTTATAGAGGGCAGGGAAGGTGGCAGAGAGTAGGTAGAAGTAAACCATGGAGGTCAGTTCTGCGGTAGTGACCACAAAGCCTGGAAATTTCCTCGTAGCTAAAAGAGGATTAGGAAGAGGACACTGTACATTTTCTCTCCAATTAGTAGGCGAGTTCCATCCTAGCCAATTCTAACGTAACAATTACGGAGAGAAACAAAGCACCCATGAGCTTTATTCTCAGGTTGAGAAGGAAAAGGAAACAGATCAAACTTCAAAATGTGAGCCAGGAAAGCCGTCTCTGGTCTTGTGTCTCCTGAGGAAGAAAAGCAACACTTAGAAGAAAGGGCAGAGAAGCAGAAAAGGGGATGCACGCTGAAGGAAAGCAGGCAAAGTTCCAGGCCAGCCTGGGCAACATAGTGAGATATTGTCCCTACAAAAAATACAAACAATTAGCCAGGCATGGTGGTGTGCACTTGTAGTTCCAGCTACTCAGGAGGCTGAGATGGGAGGATGGCTTGAGCCTGGGAGATCCAGGCTGCAGTAAGCTGTGATTGCGCCACTGCACTCCTGCCTGGGTGGTAGAGCAAGACCCTGTCAAAAAGAAAAAAAAAAAGAAAAGAAAAGAAAAAGAAAGAAAGAAAGAAGGAGAGAAAGCAGGAAAAAACACTTAGGAATAAGATTTGCCCATTTTTGCAAACCATCCCACCCATTTTTGAGAGTTGGTAGCTCTCAGAGGGCAGAACCCCAGGCTTGTGTCTCGTCTTCCCACGTGAAATGAGACATACAAGGAGAACGCCCCCGCCATGGTGATAAGCAGAGGCTGGAGCAGTGCGTCTACAAGCCACAGAGCACCACGCGTGGCTGGCAACACCAGGAGCTAGAAGCGGCGAGGAAGGATTTTCCACTGAGTCTCAGAGAAGCACAGCCCCGCTGACACCTTGGTGTCAACTCCTGGCTTCTGGAACTGAGAGAAGATAAATTTCTGTAGTTTTAAGACATGTTCTATGACACACTCGTGGTATATGACAGGTGCTAACAGGCACTTGCTAGATACATTCTCACATAATTATGATGCTTAGAGCAAGACAACAGAATTGGTAAACAATGTCAAATGTGACTATCTATAGGGAAAAAAAGAAAAACCAAAGTGGGGAGGAGGGAAAAAAGGGAATTAAAAGTTACTAAAGTGGACTTACTTCCTGACTCCCTCCAACCACTATGGGCTCATCTATGCAAAAATTCCAGTGCATTCTGTCTGATTCTGCTGTAGTGGGAAAGGCCTGCAGACCTTCTTATGTTCCCAACACACCCTTCTGACCTCCAAGTTCCTCTGTATCTTAGTCGTCAACCTTCCCAACCCATGTTCTTTTTTGTCTTAAAACCCCTTCAGAAGAATCCAGTTCCCGTCCACTCTGGGTACCCAGCCATCCATCATGTGGGATCTGATCATCTCAGAGTACAAGCAATGTTTTCCCCAATAACCATGTAGTAAACTTTCTCCATGGAGGTGGGCTGTTATCTCAGGAAACTCACCAACTGGGTTGTAATTTCAGAGGCTTTCATTAGAAATTAAGGGCTTACCGGCGGGGCGCGGTGGCTCATGCCTGTAATCCCAGCACTTTGGGAGGCTGAGGTGGGCGGATCACGAGGTCAGGAGATCGAGACCGTCCTGGCTAACACGGTGAAGCCCCGTCTCTACTAAAAATACAAAAAATTAGCCGGGCGTGGTAGCGGGCGCCTGTAGTCCCAGCTACTTGGGAGGCTGAGGCAGGAGGATGGCGTGAACCCGGGAGGCGGAGCTTGCAGTGAGTCGAGATCGCACCACTGCACTCCGGCCTGGGCGAAAGAGCGACACTCTGTCTCAAACAAAAAAAAAAAAAAAAAAAAAGGAAAGAAAAGAAATTAAGCGCTTACCATCTCAAAGCGTGGGCCCGGGGCTGGGGCTGTGGGGCTGGGGAGGAGGGGGAATCTATAATAAGTGTCAGGCAGAGGACTTCCCTTGGCTAATATCCAGGGAGGATCATCTTATTCGATAGACCACATGCTGATTGCTTCTATTCCAAACCAGAAAAAGCAAAATGTGAATCTTTTGCGGAAGGGGGAAGATGCTGTTTTCATCTTTAAGTACATTCTGTGTGATACCCGGTTGCACTAGCTAATGGCACGGTGTGCCGAGCCCTGTGTTAGGCTAGGACACAGGAAGAGAGTCCACAGTCCTCTTCTACAGCTGCCTACGTCTTCAAAAGGGCAAGAGATGTTTTTTCAAGGCAAATTCTTTGGTTCAATTCCCATGGATGGATTTGATCAAAAGAGGTCAGTTTCCCTAGATAATTCATACAAAATTCTTTTTTTTTTTTTTTGCGGTAGATGTTAATCAGTGGCCTCGAGTGAATGATCAGTTTTGTCTGCAATTAGTAAAAAACTAGCAAACTCTGGTTATGGGATGGAAAGAACATCTGCTGAACGAAGATACTCTAAATTTGAAAGTTAGAAAAACCCTAGGGCCCCAGGTTAGTTATTCAAAATGTGAATCATGTGATGAGAAGCAGTCCATTTGGAAACTTTTGATGTTGATAGCTTAGTTCATGAGCCAAATAGTCATCTTTTCAGGCAACATTGTGAGAAATCAGACAAATGAAGAAAGTGGAGGAAAGTGATATGTACATTCTTGGGGATTGTTCTCAAAATGAAATGTATTTAAAGCAAACAGGATCTCAGCTACTGGGAGCTGGTCTGGTGGGATGTGGCCAAATAGAATTCCAATGAACCCAAGAGGTCTTCTATATCTTTGACCATTGTGTTGCTTTTGTCTGCTTTGATGCAATCTCCATGGAAGCTGAGATGAATCTCCATCCTCCACGGACATTTTTCTAAAATAATCACAATGTCATTTTTTCTTGAATCTTCTGTAGCTTTCCCTTAAAATAACACAAAATCCAAGCTGGAAGAGTCACTGGGGACCATGATCAGTAATTGACTTCCCCTGGTCAGTAACTCAGATATTCCTAATTATCGAATTATCAAATCTTAAAAATTAACTACATTGCCAGCAAGACTATCTCAGAACAACACTGACTGTCTTCCCAGGCCCAACCAATCCCTTTGACAGACTGATTGCCTCCGGGAAAGTCACACCTTGAGTTAAACAAACAAAACAGGTTAAGAATAGGCAGGGTGCGGTGGCTCACACCTGTAATCCCAGCACTTTGGGAGGCGGAGGCGGGTGGATCATGAGGTCAGGAGTTCAAGATCAGCCTGGCCAACATGGCAAAACCCCGTTTCTACTAAAATACAAAAATTAGCTGGGCATGGTGGTGCACACCTGTAATCCCAGTTACTTGGGAGGCTGAGGCAGGAGAATCATTTGAACCTGGGAGGTGGAGGTTGCAGTGAGCCAAGATCATGCCATTGCATTCCAGCATGGGTGGGTCGAAACTCTGTTTCAAAAAAAAAAAATAATAATGATAATAGAAGCAGCTAGCACAGGGGTTATTGAATGAGATGATCCTCTTTTTTCCCTCCTCCTTTCCTTCTTCCCCTCCTTTCTCCTTTTCTTTCTCCCCCTTCCTTTTTCTCTTTTCATAAACATTCCATCCAGAGCCCAGTCTAGACAGGCTGCCCCAGTGTCACTACAAAATCTCCCTTCTCCATCATCCCCCTGCCTTTCTCCTGTGTCGTACTTCCTTTTGCACGTGTGTGTGTGTGCATGCGTGTGTGTGTGTGTGGTCTATTCCCTGTATCTTGGCTTCTACCTTTTAAGTTTACTCATTTGTTTCAGTGCAGCATCTACTCCAGAATTTTTCCAAGAAATGGGGATGGGAGGTATGGGCGCAAGAGTGACCTTATTTTACCACCTGGCTAAGCCCAAATCTGAGAATGGCTCCAAAATGTCGACTTGACGTGTTACTCTTTTTTTTTTTTCTGAGACAGAGTCTGGCTCTGTCGCCCAGGCTGGAGTGCAGTGGCGCGATCTCGGCTCACTGCAACCTCTGCCTCCCAGGTTCAAGTGATTTCCTGCCTCAGCCTCCCAAGTAGCTAGGATTACAGGTGTGTACTACCACGCCCGGCTAATTTTTGTATTTTTAGTAGAGACAGGGTTTCACCATGTTGGCCAAGCTGGTCTTGAACTCCTGACCTCAGGTGATCTGCCCACCTCAGCCTCCCAAAGTGCTGGAATTACAGGTGTGAGACAATGCGTTTGGCTGATGTGTTACTCTTTATGTAAGAACATCCACTCATTGTTAAGTTTCCTCCAAAGCAACTCTTGATTTTGTTGTAGAAATCATACGCTGTGATGCCCGAAGCACCTACATTTCCCCTGAGGTCTACTTTTGCCCTGGCTCTGGGGGGTTGCAGTGTGGAGATCTACCTGTTTTGCACTGCCCATGACCACGCTTCTGTCTGTTAGTTCCCCTAAGAAATCACCCCAAACTGACAAACTGGATTTGTGTGCCCCCTCCTTTGGTTTCTTGGCTCCTTCTGCATATGGGGGATGATTTGCACTTACAGCCCTCCCTATGGAACAGCAGGTAAGATATTTTAGATATTATAAGTCCTAAAACATCACTGACTGCCTAGCTGTAAAAGTCTTTGAATGATTTTTATTCAGTATTTGGGGGCCTTGCTCCAATAACTGCAAGTTCCTCCCTCCACACTGCTTCAGCCCCAGTCCTGTGTTCTGGGATCCTTGGCCCTTTGATTCTTGTCTCTTTTGGGGTGCAAGGAAAAGGTATCCACTAAGCTAATTCAAATAAAGGGGTGTATCTGCATGGGGTGGGGAGGTAGGAGGGTTCCTGAAGATAGCCAGCAAAATTGAGGCAGGAGAATAGGGTCTGGAGGCAGGGAACCTAGGCCGTTTCACGCTGACTTCCTGGAACTAGACTGAAAGGAAAACCCTCTTTCCATGCCTAAGTAACAAAAGGACCAGAGGCTACTCCCGTTGCAAACCCCCACCTTTTCTGTGCCCCGGAGATGGGAAATTGCAAGTACTTCTGATTGGTTGCTTTCTGCAACCAATCAGATGTTTGAAGAAGAGAGTAACTTTGTAGCTTCATTTCAGCCTCTGATTGGTTGCGGGCCACCTCTTCATTTACATGGGGTGAGCATGAAGTGTGGCCCATGGGAAAGCTCTACGGGGTATTTAGACCTGAGTAGATTCTCTATCCAGGGCCCTTGAACCACTGCTTGGACCCACTCCCACCCTGTGGTGTGTACTTTCCTTTTCAATAAGTCTCTGGTTTTGTTGCTTCATTCTTTCCTTGCTTTGTTTGTATGTTTTGTCCAATTCTTTGTTCAAAATGCCAAGAACCTGGACACCCTCCCCCAGTAACAAAATTATATTAAAAATCCAAGAGCAGAGCTGAGAAACACTGAAGTGGCCCAGGACTGGTGGCCGCTCTCCCAGCATCTCTTGAGTCTCCTCTCTGGGGCCCTGGCTTTCACCTCCCACAGCCCCCACTGGATGCTCCAGCGTGTGCCCACGCCCAGCGCCCCCCACTCCGCCCTGCACCCTCCCGGGCCCTCTTGCTCTGGCTCTCCCTCTTATCTTTCTTCCCTTCTAACTCACTAATCTAATTTTCAATTTGCCAAACAGATTCCCAATAAAAAAATCTTTCTGAGCTAGACAAGACAACTCCTCTGTTGCTGGCAGCCTCATCCATGGGCTGTCCTGAGTCCAGCTCCAGTACTTGGTCCAGGCTGCTCTGGCAGGGACCCAGCCATGAACGGATGCAAAGGAACATGGTTTTCATCTGCGCTTCTCTGATTTCGGATGAAGCTAAGCTTCTCTTCTTGTTTGGTGCTCTTTGGGGTGTCTTCTTCTATGAATTGCCTATCTACATCTTATCCCTTTTTCCACTTTCTGTCTTTTTCCTCTTGATTTGCATGAGTTCCTTGAATTTTCTAGGCACTAGTCCCTTGTCAGCTTTGGATATTGCAAGCGTGTTCTCCCATTCTGTCCTCTGTCTACAGGGATACCTCAGAGATGTTGTGGGTTCAGTCCAGATTACTGCAATAAGGCAAATATTGCAATAAAGTGAGTCACACATTTTTGTGGTTTCCCAGTGCATATAAAAGTTATGTTTCTATACTGTAGTCCATTTAGTGTGCAATAGCATTATGTATAAAATGTACTGTATTAATTAAAAATACTTTATTGCTAAACAATGGTAACAATTATCTGAGCCTTCATGGAGTTGTAATCTTCCTTTGGTGGAGGGTTTTGCCTCGATGTTGGTGGCTGCTGACTGATCAGGGTGGTGGTTCCTGAAGGTTGGGGTGGCTGTGGAATTTCTTAAAATAAGACAGTAATGAAGTTTGCTGTATCCATCGACTCTTCTTTTTTAATTTTTTTCTACCCCTGCCCTTCCCCTGACTCTTCCTTTCACAAAAAGATTTTTCTGTAGCATGTGATGCTGTTTGATAGAATTTTACCCAGAGTAGAACTTCTTTGAAAATTGGAGTCAGTCCTTTCAGACCTTGCCACTGCTTTGTCAGCTAAGCTTATGTAATATTCTAAATGCTTTGTTGTCGTTTTAACAGTGTTCATAGCTTCTTCATCAAGAGTAGTTTCCATGTCAAGAAACCACGTTCTTTGCTCATCCAAAAGAAGCAACTCCTCATCCTTTCAAGTTTGATCATGAAATTGCAGTTCAGTCCCATCTTCTATTTCTCTTGCATTTCCACCACATCTGCAGTGACTTCCTCCACTAAAGTCTTCAACCCCTCAAGGTCATCCATGAAGACTGGAATCAACTTCTTCCAAACTCCTCTTAATGTTATTATTTTGATCTCCTCCCATGAATCACGAATGTTTCTAATGGCATTTAGAATGGTGAATCCTTTCCAGACGTTTTCAATTTTCCTTGCCCAGATCCATCAGAGGAATCACTATCTATGGCAGTTATAGCCTTATTAAATCTATTTCTTAAATAATAAGACTTGAAAGTAGAAATTAGTCCTTGATCCATGGGCAGAGAATGGTGATCGTGTTAGCAGGCAGGGACACGACATTTATCTCCTAGCACATCTCCCTCAGAGCTTATAGGTGACCAAGTGCATTGTCAATGAGCAGTAATATTTTGAAAGGAATCTTTTCTTCTGAGCAGTAGGTCTCAACGGCGGGCTTAAAATATTCAGTAAACCATGCTGTAAGCAGTTGTGTAGTCATTCAGGCTTTGTTGTTCCATTTCTAGAGCACAGGCAGAATAGATTCAGCATAATTCTTAAGGACGCTAAGATTTTCAGAATGGCAAGTGAGCACTGGCTTCAGCTTAAAGACACCAGCTGCATCAGCCCCTAGCAAGAGAGTCAGCCTATCCTTTGAAGCTTTGAAGCCAGACATTGATGTCTTCTCTCTAGCTATGAAAAGTCTTAGATGGCATCTTCTTCCAATAGAAGACTGTTTAGTCTACATTGAAAATTTGTTGTTTAGTGCTCCTGTCTTCATCAATGATCTTAATTAACTAGATCTTCTGGAAAACTTGTTGCAGCTTCTCCATCAACACTTGTTGCTTCATCTTACACTTTTTTATGGAGCTGGCTTCGCTCTTTAAATCTCATGAACCAATGAGGTTCAAAAGCTTCAAACTTCCTTCTGCAGCTTCCTCACCTCTCTCAGCCTTCAGAGTGGAAGAGAGTTAGGACCTTTCTCTGGATTCGGCTTTGGCCTAAGAGAATGCTGTGGCTGCTTTGATCTTCTATCCAGACCACTCAAACTTTCTCTGTATCAGCAATAAGGCAGTCTCACTTTCTTATCATTTGTGTGTTCCCTGGAGTAGCAGTTTTAATTTCCTTTAAGTACTTTTTTTTTGAGATGGAGTCTTGCTCTGTTACCCAGGCTGTAGTGCAGTGGCATGATCTTAGTTCACTGCGGCCTCCACCTGCCAGGTTCAAGTGATTCTTCTGCCTCAGCCTCCCAAGTAGCTGGGATTACAGGTGCACACCATGCACACCACCACGCCCGGCTAATTTTTGTATTTTTAGTAGAGATGGGGTTTCATCATGTTGGCCAGGCTGGTCTTGAACTCCTGACCTCAAGTAAGCCGCCCGCCTCAGCCTCCCAAAATGCTGGGATTACAGGCGTGAGCCACCGTGCCTGGCCAAGAACATTTTCTTTGCACTCACAATTTGGTTAACTGTTTGGCACAAGATGCCTAGCTTGGGGCCTATCTCAGCTTTCGACATGCCTTCCTCACTTAGCTTAATTACTTCTACCTTTTGATTTAAAGTCAGAGGCCTGTGACTCTCCTTTTCACTTGAACACTTAGAGGCCATTGCAGGGTTATTAATTGTCCTAATTTCAATCCCCAGGGAACAGGGATGCACAAGATGAGGGAGACAGACAGAGGAATGGCCAGCTGGTGGACCAATTAGAACACATACAACATTTATCAATTAAGTTCACTGTCTTATATGGGACCCCCAAAACAACTACAGTAGTAACATCAAAGACCACTGATCACAGATCATCACAATGATATAATAATGAAAAAGTTTTAGATACTGCAAGAATTACCAAAATATGACACAGAGACATAAACTGAGCATGTGCTGTTGGAAAAATGACACCAACAGACTTGCTCAAAGCAGGGCTGCCACAAACCTTCTATTTGTAAGAAATGCAACATCTGGGAAGTGCCATAAAGCCAAGCATGTTGAATAAAAGCCTGAATTAACTTTGTCAGTGGGCCACTAGTTGACCAGAAATTTTTCATTCTGATGTACTAAAAATCATCTTCCTTTTTTTTTTTGCTTACAGCTTGTGTTTTGAAATTTTAAGAGGTCCTTCCCCACCCTTGGATCGCAAGGAAGTGTGTCATCACCATATTCTGTTAACTTATCATTTTACTGTTCATATTCGGTATTGGCTTCATTTTGAATAGTCCTATGTATGTGATGTTGGTTTTTTACCCCTGCAGACACTGAAATGACTTCTAAATATCCACAAGTAACTCGTCCTTTCCCCACTGATTCCTGGGCTGTCTTTATCATGTAATGATTCCCATGTAATATAGTCTCTCTCTGGGCTCCCTCTCCTGTTCCCCTGGTCTGTGTGTCTGTCCTTGGTTTTGTGTTGTATCTTAATTCCTAGTTGAGCAAGTTTGACTTAGCATTTCATGGATTTTTATACTTCCATAAAAAATTTAAATCAGGGCCAGGCGCAGTGGCTCATGCCTATAATCCCAGCACTTTGCGAGGCTGAGGCGGGCGGACCACTTGAGGTCAGGAGTTCGAGACCAGCCTAGCCAACATGGCGAAACCCCGTCTCTACTAAAAATACAAAAATAAGCTGAGCTTGGTGGCACATGTCTGTAGTTCCAGTTACTTAGGAGGCTGAGGCAGGAGAATCACTTGAACCTGGGAAGCAGAAGTTGCAGTGAGCTGAGATCACACCACTGCCCTCCAGCCTGGGTGACAGAGTGAGACTGTCTCAAAAAAAACCCCAAAAAACAAAAAACAATTAAGTCAGGTTTTCAAAGTCCTTAATAGGATGGTTGAAATTCTGATGGGAAATCTGAGTAGCATAAAGGCATTCTAAGTGGGGAAATGATAGGCGTGAAGGTAGGAAAAATGAGTAAGTCAAGGTTAAGGCACGTGACCCATTTTTGATGAAGCTAAAGGTATCGAGGTATCTTAACATCACCAAGTTCTTTCTCTTTTCACAGTTTAACAAAGTTAAGATCAAGGTATCAGTTATACTTTTATTGTATAAAAGCACATAAGATGACCTATATCCTTTACTCATGCCAAGAAAACTACCTGCTTTACCCACTCTGCTCTTGATGCGCTGTTTAAAAAGCAGTTTCACTTCCATAGCAACACATTCGTTTCCTTTCCACTTCCTGTAATACTTGCTAACTTTCACTTCTGGTTTGTTTTGACTCCTCTATTTTGGAAGTCATTTCGTTTTCAAGTAAAGTAAACATGAACAACTCTAAAATACAACTTATACCTCTGTGTCTTAGTCGAAACAATACAAACACCCTAGCACTTTTCATCTTTAATTCAACTAGACGTTCACTACCAGATGGCATACTAGGCCCGTTGAGTTTTGCATTACTTAGTTCCTTAAAAATAAAAGGAGAGAGGCTGGGGCCGGTAGCTCATGCCTGTAATCCCAGCATTTTGGGAGGCTGAGGCGGGTGGATCACTTGAGGTCAGGAGTTCGAGACCAGCCTGGTCAACATGGCAAAACCCCATCTCTACTAAAAATACAAAAATTAGCTGGACGTGGTGGCACATGCCTGTAATCCAGCTACTTGGGAGGCTGAGGCACGAGAATTGCTTGAACCCGGGAAGCAGAAGTTGCAGTGAGCCGAGATCATGTCACTGAACTCCAGCCTGGGCGACAGAGCGAGACTCCATCTCAAAAACAAACAAACACACACACACACACACACACACACACACACACACACACACACACAACAGGGAGAAATAAAAGCAAAGTGCTCAGGTCAGGCTCTGGTCAAACCAGGGCAAAACAGACAGCTCCCCAGGGAGCTCAGGAGGAATTCCCAGCTCCTGCAGGGCTGAGCAGAGAGACCAGCTGGAGAATACACTTCCTTTTCCCTCTTCTTGTCTTCCACCTGGCCCTTATTTCCATTTCTGCTTTGTCTCCAGGCAGGTGCACACTCCACCTTTTCTCATTGATGTGATGGTCCCCACTCCTCTGTCCTGCCAGATTTAGGTCAGCTGTTCTGAGCACACGGCAAAGCAGCTTTAGACTCCTGCACTGTCGAAAAACACTCGCTGAGCCTGAGTAATTGCAAGGAAAACGGATGCATGCTGTCAGATCCTCCACTGCTATTTTCTCACACTGAAGTCTATTTTTCTTAGGTATCTAGATACCTTTAATTTCCATTTCTCTCACTCCTTTCTTGCCATCTGTTCATTTTATTATTGTTCCTTATTTATACATTAACATTAAATATACTCTTTTGAACGTATAATAATGACTTTCATAATTAAAACATTTAAATGGCTTATTCCTTCTTTCTTCGAACTATTTTTATCTACTTATTTATTTTGAGATGGAGTTTTACTCTGTTGCCCAGGCTGGAGTGCTGTGGTGCGATCTTCGCTCACTGCAACCTCTGCATCCTGGGTTCAAGTGATTCTCATGCCTCAGCATCCCAAGTCGCGGGATTACAGGCATGTGCCACCATGCCCAGCTAATTTTTGTATTTTTAGTAGAGACAGAGTTTTGCCATGTTGGCCAGGCTGGTCTCGAACTCCTGACCTCAGGTGATCTGCCTGCCTCAGCCTCCCAAAGTGCCGGGATTACAGGCATGAGCCACCGCACCCAGCCTCTTTCTTCTGATCTTCGTTCTCAGCTCTCACCAAACTGGCTTAGAGACTTCACTAGGAAGATGTGTCCTCCGCCATCCCAGAATTCTACAGGTAAGTCTTTCACCATCTTTATAGCCCAGTGGTCAAATAGCAGCTCGGGATCAGACAGGTGAGGCTGCATCAGTTTCACTTCCGCTCTGCAGTTCATTATCTGTGTGGCCTTGGGCAGCGTCCGGGACTTCTCTGATTTCCTGTAAACCAGGCTTGCTAATGCTGCCCCCATAAGATTGTTGTCATTTTAAAACAAGAAAATTCAGGCAATTCGTGTAACCTGGTGCTTGGCACATGGTGAAGGCTCGATTAATGGTGGCTACTGCTCCTTCCACCTGGCTGCCCACTGGGAGGACAGATGACAGGAAAGGAAAGAGCTCTGCTGACGGTCGGAAGGTAACGTAGTACCATCCTCTATGAGCAGTAAAGCTGAAGAAGCCCAGTATAATGAGCCAGCACTCCCCTTTTAGGATATTCTAGAAAAGTTCCCATATACAGACAAGGAGGCAAGGCCAAGTGTGTTCACCACAGCATTGTTTGTTATGAGGAAAAATGGAAATAACCTAAATGTCCCAGAATAAGAGAACTGGTAAATATGTTGTGATATTTATACAACCAATAGCATACAGAAGAGGAAAATGAATGAAACAGAAACACAAGGAAAAACTTCAAAAGTATAATATTGTGGGAGAAAAACAGATTGCAGAATAATACATGCAGTGTGACAGTAACTTCTTATAAAATTTCAAACATATAAAACAGCAGTGTGCATTGTATTGGCACACATACATGTAGAGAAGTATAAACATATGTATGGGAGTAATACAGATAAATTCAGAACCATGATTACTTTAGGGAGAGGATATATTTAGGGACCCTCAACTGTATCTATTTTACCTTTTTAAAGGATCTGAAGTAAATGTGGGGCAAAATGTTAAGATCTGATAAAGCTGGTTTGTGGGTGCATGGGTATTTTTATATTATTCTCTATATACATTTAAAAAGTCTGTAATATTTCATAACAAAAAAACTAATGGTCTTACATGTTGAAATAGTACTCACAGAAATTAATTCCTTATAACCTATAACATTCTTCATTGTATCTATTAAATATGATTGGTTTTGGCGGGGGGGCGGGGGGGCCGTGGTTCACACCTGTAATCCCAGCACTTTGGGAGGCCGAGGCAGGTGGAGTCAGGAGTTTGAGACCAGCCTGACCAACATGGTGAAACCCTGTCTCTACTAAAAATACAAAAATCAGCTGGGTGTGGTAGTGGGCGCCTGTAATCCCAGCTACTCAGGAGGCTGAGGCCGGAGAATCACTTGAACCCAGGAAGCGGAGGCTGCAGTGAGCCGAGATCACACCACTGCACTCCAGCCTGGGCAACAGAGCAAGCCTCTGTTAAAAAAAAAAAAAAAGACTGGTGTCTTTTATTTCATAGATGGTCCACAAGAGGGAGATCTAGAATAATTATGTGTAAGGAGAACAGCCTCCTAGGGCTTGTCGGGAGTGCTATGGAAACCAGGTGTCATCGGACAGTCCTACCGCCCTCTGGCAGGAGAGGCGATGCCCCTACCCCTTGTTCCCAAACCTACACAACAACTCCTTACGGCAAAGAGGACACATCACAGGGCGCAGTGACAATCTGAACCGTGTTGTGTTTTCTTGTTTTGTTTTGTTTGAGACGGAGTCTCGCTCTGTCGCCAGGCTGGAGTGCAGTGGCGCGATCTTGGCTCAGTGGAACCTCCGCCTCCCGGGTTCACGCCATTCTCCTGCCTCAGCCTCCCGAGTAGCTGGGATTACAGGCGCCCGCCACCACGCCCGGCTAATTTTTATATTTTTAGTAGAGACGGGGTTTCACCATGTTAGCCAGGATGGTCTCGATCTCTTGACCTTGTGATCCGCCCGTCTCTGCCTCCCAAAGTGCTGGGATTACAGGCGTGAGCCACCGCACCCGGCCTGAACAGTGTTTTAAAAAACACAATGTAACAAATTGTTGGCAGAGTAAGTAACACCCAGCAGCTAGAGGAAGGGAGTTGAGAGTGCAGGCAAACAGGCGCGACCCACGGGTGTCCCTGGCACCTATGGCGGGTGCTCCCTCCATTCCTTTGGGACGCTTCCTAAGGCGCTGTTTTTCTTGTTATTCTGTACACTTGATTCCCTCGAATTCTCAGGAAAATGCTGCCAGCGGCCAATTCACCAGTAAAGAGCTTTTATTACACAATCATATAATAAATATGACCTCAGAGCTGGCTTTTATCCAGGCTAATGCCCACAGAGAGGGGACCGTGTTCTGGCCACCTTTGGAGACTGGGCTTCCTATTGAGGGTTGGGAGCCTTCTCCTAAAGAACTAATCAACCAGAAACCAGAAGTGAGTCTTAGAAAACAGCAGGCACCACCCCTCTGATGTCATCTTTGAAAGAACCAAGAAAATCTTGCCTTTCAAGGATAGAGCTCTCTCCAGTGCAGCTCACAGGAAATTAAGCACTACGTTTCAATGAAGACGGGAGTGAGTGTAAATTCTGATTTCACCACCTACTAATTGCATGCCCTTGGGGAAGCGAATTAGCCTTGTTAAGTCTATTTCCTTTCTTTGTAAAACTAGGAAAATATTACTTACATCATGTGCAAGTTGCTCTAAGAGTGAAATGGACACTAGTAGAGTGGCACATTTCTTGATTCATTTTTAAGAACTGACGGTATACCAGGTCAAGAATTTGCTCCGCTCACACCTGTAATCCCAGCACTTTGGGAGGCAGAGGCAGGCGGATCACGAGGTCAGGAGATCGAGACCGTCCTGGCTAACACAGTGAAACCCCGTCTCTACTAAAAAAAATACAAAAAATTAGCCGGGCTTGGTGGCGGGCGCCTGTAGTCCCAGCTACTCGGGAGGCTGAGGCAGGAGAATGGCGTGAACCCGGGAGGCGGAGCTTGCAGTGAGCTGAGATCGCGCCACTGCACTCCAGCCTGGGCGACAGGGTGAGACTCTGTCTCAAAACAACAACAACAACAAAAAGAATTTGCTCCATAAATGTTAGTTTGTTTTTCCTTTCCCCTAAACAAGGGAGAAAGGAATTAGTTTCATGATGGCTGTCCTGTAGAAGAGATGATGAAAGGCTTTTGCGTTCATATTGGTGCCCCATCACTAACATTATTTGGAGAAAGATATTTCTTTGTATATATGTGTATACAAATATACAGTTATACAAATATACATTGTATGCAAATAACACACATATAAATATATGTTAGGTGTGTGTATGTTTATTATACTATACTCTGGTTTCCAAAAGGGATTTGCATCACTTTAAGAAAAAAAACAAGATAGTTAAAAATCATGCAGTCATTTAAATACTTTTATTCTCTGCTGGTGGGAGTGCCAATCAGCACAACATTTCTGAAATGCATTTTGTTATATCAAGAGTCTTAAAATGTTTATTTCGGACACTTCTAGAAATTTATTCTAAGTAAATATTAAAAATCAAAGGAAACTATGTTTTAAAATAGTTTATTACAAACATTATTTTAACAACAAAATTTGGAAACTTCCCATATGCTTAACAGTGAAGAGAAAAGGTAAATAAATAATTGGAAATGCTATAATATCCAGTGAAAAATCAGGAAATACACAAAAATTGTGTATACAGTATGATTGCAACTATGTATAGCTGTAGAGACACACACACAAAAAGACTGGAAATTATCACCTATAATTTCACCATTTCTTTGTGTGATTCAGTATTTTCAAATTTTGGAAGGTTACTTTCATAAAAGAAAATATAAACATAATATTAAAACAACAATAAAAAATAGTTTCTTTGAGAGAGGTAAGAAAAGATCAATGCCTTCCCAGATGTTGATCCCCCAGCCTGTTTCAGACGTCATCCTGTTTGAGCTAACCGCGGCATCTGACGCTGCAGACCATTCCTGCTTCCAGGAATCCTTTTCCAGTGATGTCTGCAGCCCTTGGCTGTGCGTGAAGAGTGCTGTGATTGATTGATAATGCCTGACATGGGCAACGGAGAGCAGGAGTGGGGCCATGTGCTCTACGCACTTGCCATCTTTGTTCTACGTTTCCCTTGATAATTGCCCTCATTCCCATGGCATCGCTTCTCATGCTCATGCCAATGATTCAAGCCTACATCCCTCTCTCACCTCCTTACCCACCTATTCCACTCCATCTAGTCTTGCTATCAGTCGTCTTGAACTTCACAGGTACAAACTGAACTTTCTTCCTTTTCTCTTCCTACTCAGAAACTTCCCCCTTTTCTCTCTTCCCCCATTATGTCAGTACTCACCTGGTTTTTAAAGGTCAAAACCTTTAAAGGTAAAACCTTGCATCATTCTTATCTTTTTCCATCTTTTCCTCCCAACCCACTGAGTCATGGAGCCCTAGGTGTGACCTCAGAAATATGGAGCTGCCCTGGTCCGGCCTGCGTTGCTTCCACGTCCACCTATTCCAGCAGCTGCCAAACTGGCTTCTCCCTGTTTCTGTCCTCCTCCACTTTTGTTGCCAGGGTTATGGTGTCATCGTCGAAGTAGAGACTCATTTGCCTGCCTGAAGACCTCTGTTGCCACCCTTGGCCGGCTGCTGGTTCACCGACTGCACTTCCCCCGTGCCCGCCTCACCACCTGCTCCCTTGTCCCGCATTGTGGTGGCTCGTGTGCCCGGCTGGGTGCCTTTCTGCCTGCAGGGCCTCTTGTCCTCCTATCCCAGATTTAGTTCAGAGGCCTCTTCTTGGAAATGCCGCCCCAGTGTCCACAGTTGGACGTCCTCTGTGTCCTGCTGGGTGTTCCCTGCAGTCCCCCATTACCTGGGCTGGTGTCTGTGGCTCCTCCAGGAGGCACCCGTGACCCCACCACCTCGGGAGCCCACGGGGCTGACAGCCTGCTCCTAAAAACATGTTGCTGAGGTCAGGTGCGGTGGCTCACGCCTGTAATCCCAGCACTTTGGGAGGCCAAGGCAGGTGGATCATGAGGTCAGGAGTTTGAGACCAGTCTGGCCAATATGGTGAAACCCCGTCTATATTAAAAATACAAAAATTAGCCAGGCATGGTGGCACACACCTGTCATCCCAGCTACTCAGGAGGCTGAGGCAGGAGAATTGCTTGAACCCGGGAGGCGGAGGTTGCAGTGAGCCAAGATCGCGCCACTGTGCTCCAGCCTGGGTGACAGAGGAAAACTCTATCTCAAAAAACAAAACAAAATAAAACAACAACAGCAACAAATGTTGCTGAGTGAATGAATGAGAACAGAGGGGGTTAGATATTTTCACCAGAACCTGAGAAAAGACTGTCTTTGTATTTGAGCATTCCATGTGTACGATATTCCTGGTAGTTATGAAAGATCAGAAGCAGAAGGGATTACACAGTTCTCATTGTCTATTCCCGTATTAGATCTTTAGGAGGAAGAACTGTTTTGGGCCCTAGGGCCCAGTGGCATTTGCTCATTTGAATCCCCTTGTCCAACACCCTCGCCCCAAGCTCCGGGGCCAGCCTGAGGAAGGACACACCGGGAGGTGTGCGTGATGATGACAGGGATAAAAACACCAGTCCTGGCTGAGTGGTGTGGTAGCTCATGTCTGTAATCCCAGCACTTTGAGAGGCCGAGGTAGGGGGATCACTTGAGGTCAGGAGTTTGAGATCAGCCTGGCCAACATTGTGAAACCCCGTCTCCACTAAAAATACAAAAATTAACCAGCTGTGGTGGTGTGTGCCTGTAATCCCAACTACTCGGGAGGCTGAGGCAGGAGAATCGCTTGAACCCAGGAGGCAGAGGTTGCAGTGAGCCGAGATGGTGCCACTGCACTCCAGCCTGGGTGACAGAGCGAGACTCCATCTCAAAAAACAAAAATAAAAACAAAACACTGTTCCTTGTGTTTTAGTCCCTGTCCAGAGGATCCCTGAGATCCCAGCGTCCAAACACCTCCCTCCACCTGATGGGGCCCCAGGGTGGCACAAACGATCTCCTTGGCAGTCCTTGAAGCTTCCTGGGAGCTGCTAGGAGGTGATGGGTGGCAGGTGGCAGGTGGCGATATCGTCCCTCCCCTCTGCCATTTCCCTCCACGCCCCACCCCTCCTGTAGATGACCACTTTGCCCCAGCTCAGAAATGCACCTCTGGTGTAAATTTACATTATTTTTATTGCAATAGTACTTTAAATACACAAATGCAAAGTACTTTAAGTATGTGAAAGGTTGAACTCCTTGTACTTAACTAGGAAAACATATGTACAAACGAAACCTCAAATCCCTGTAGAGTATAATAATTTAATGTGAGGGATGAGGCTCTTTGGCTGAAATACAATCTCTAAAGTTTGTTTTAACAGGGAAAAAATAATGCAGTCATAGGTCTGGTTTAATGTTTAATCTGCTTTAGTATTTTTAGCTTTAATAATAATATAGATAATGTCTTTTCATATCAGTGTATTTTGCAAAATGTCATGATTAACGTAAGGGCTTTGTTAGCTGGTTTACATTCATCAACCCTTGTATTTAACCAGATCCTGCTACCAAGCAACCTGAAATGTCAATTTAAGTGAGATAGCATTACACACTGTAAAACCATTGCTCAAATAGAGTTAGCAATAGGGTGATGTTGTTATCTACATTAAAAAATACCTAGTTTAATACTGCCAGGCTCAGGAATAGAAATTAAAATTGGTTATTAATCCCAGCAGAAAGACAAAAAAAAATCTCAGTTCAGCATAGGCTGTGGAAGGAAAGCAAATG
Source organism: Homo sapiens (assembly GCF_000001405.40). Lineage (NCBI taxonomy): Eukaryota > Metazoa > Chordata > Mammalia > Primates > Hominidae > Homo > Homo sapiens. The sequence goes on along the minus strand of NC_000007.14, from coordinate 151,928,169 downwards.
AATGCTGGAAATGATGCATTTGTGCAATTTCAAGCATGGTCTGACCATAACTTAGGCTTTCTTACTGTCGTTTTCACTTTATCTTCACGTTAAAGTATCCAAACTGCTGGGAAACCTGCGTTTGCTCAGTGATGTTAATATCATTGGACTTTACTTGCTGCAAACCTTCATGTACATGTTACGCTGTTCTTCTCTCATTAGCTCGTGAAAGGTAAAACAGACCATCACTCCAACACAGTGCACCAAAGTCGCAACGTATGGTGTTAATCATTTAAGAAAGTGATGTTTTAACTATGAAAATAGCTGTCAATTGCAAACTATGACTGCAAAAGAAGAGTTTTATCTTTATAATGATCAAATAATTTAACATGACTACAGTATGGTTTATCGTGACTCCTGCATGTCGGGACAGTTCCAGGGAGGTGACACGGGCTCAGAATCAAATGTTATCCAGTGTCACCGGATGGACAGCAGCACCCCAGCACCTTCCTGGGTGAGCCTCTGTGCTTGTCACTACTTCTGGAGTAGCCCTGGCCAAGCCAGACTGCAGTCCCAGCTCCACCTTCTCCTTACGCAGACCTCAGGTGATGGAGCAGTCAACTTCACGAATACAGGTGGAAATACTTTGTGAAGCAAGGGGGCGAGTAGAGCCTGCAGACCCTCTGCCTCACTCCTTCTGCACAGGCAAGGCAAGCTGTGGGGAAGGAAGCTGGTCTCACCAGAGAGGGTCATCTTCCTAGGGGCTCGCAGCCCACAAGAAACTCCCTGTTATAGGTCATGGAACTGTGGGAACCCCAGCACTGATTTAGAAGGCAACAGAGATGTCAAAAGGACACTGTTATGGCAGTGGGTTCAGGCCCTGATCCACCTTGAACCTCCCTGGCTGCCAGTGTAATATCTTAGAGTGGAGACTGAATGGAGAACAACTCCCTTCTGGCCATGGTGCCACGGGGAGATAGAGGATGATTCTGAGATTACGCAAGACTTTCCTGTCCAAAATGTGTGTTCAAGGGCCAAGCACGGTCGCTCACGCCTGTAATCCCAGCAGTTTTGGAGGCCAAAGTGGGCGGATCACATGAAGTCAAGGGTTCAAGGCCAGCCTGGCCAACATGGTGAAACCCCATCTCTACTAAAAATGCAAAAATTAGCCAGGTATTGTGGCAGGTGCCTGTAATCCCAGCTACTTGGGAGGCTGAGGCAGAAGAATTGCTTGAACCTGGGAGGTGGAAGTTGCAGTGAGTCAAGATCGTGCCACTGCATTCCAGCCTGGGCGAGAGAGTGAGCCTCCATCTCAAACAAAAAACCAAACCAAACCAAAACAAAACAAAAAAACCCAAAAAACAAAGTGTGTGTTCAAGGAATTAGTCTCAAAGGAGCATTCAACCCAGCACAGTTTTGACAAAGTCAAATAAGAGTAGCTCCCGTCTTGTCGTGTGCCAGGCACCTTGCTAAACGCTATAAGCCTTGGTTTTTCCTCCCATTTAACAATGTTTGGGTACCTGTTGCTGTGTACAAACCATCCCAAATCTCAGTGGTTAAAGAGAGCCATTCAGTTCGCCCCAGGATTCTGAGGGTTGACTAGATTCAGTGGGACAGTCTTCTGTCCCACGTGGTGTCCACTGAGGCTGCGGCCACCTGGGGACTGGCCTGCACTGCTCACTCGGGTCTGGGGCCCTGGCAGGGACAGGTGGAAGGTCAGGTTGTGCTGGGATTTGGGGATGGCTGGGCCTCTCCCTCTTCTACACACCTCTCCATGTAGCGTTTTCACCTGGAGGTGGAGAAGCAGGGCAGACAGACTTCTTCCTCAATGGTGCAGAGCTTCCCAAAGTACAAAAGTAGAAGCCACCAGGTTTTCTCGTGGCCTAGACTGGGAGTGGCACAGCATCATTCTGGCGCTTTCTGTTGGCAAAGCGAGGCACAGGGCCAGCCCGGATGCAGAGTGGGAGGAGCCGCACAGGGACATGGAGCACGGCAGGGGTGGTGGTTGTCACTCAAGGAGGCAGAGGCTCAGGAAGATGGAGTCACTTGAGTTCACATAGCTGCTGACTGGTCTATTGCCAAGATTCACAATTCAAATTCAGGTCAGCCAAACTTCAAACCCAGATTCTTCCCTGCTGCTAAACTGATCATAACCCAGGACATACAGAAAAGAGGGGCAGAGGCTAAACCGTGTCACAAAAGCTAAGAACCATCCTGAACGAAGGCTTGCAAGTCATGCTGAGTCAACTTTTAAAATAGATTTTAGTCATGCTCAGAAAAACAGGAACAAGAAAGAAGAGGCTCCCCGCTTGGGACAGATGGTGACATTAAACAGATGAAAACACAGAGCTGCTGAACTCTTATTTGGCTTCTATTCTATCCAGGATCATTATCTTCAAACTGTGAAGGGCAGAGCAAACATCAGTCCGAGGGAGGCTGTGTTCTGTGTAGATTCTGAGTCGGAAGTCCTGGGGTTTGCTCAGCTCTGCCCGGCCGGCTGCTTTAACGCAGGAAACCCACACTCGTCCTCCAAGATGGTGTCCGGCACTAAGCGGAGAAAATAAAAACAAGCCCACAGGCCATCTGAAGGGCAAACGAGATGACGTTGTGACAATTAATGAGATAGCTCAGACCTAGAACAGAGCTACACTCAATCCATGTTAATTTTTATTGAGGAGGTCATGTGACCATCTGATTTGAACGAATTCGATTTCAGAGCATGAAGGAAGTACGATGTACAGAAGACACTGATGGATGTATGAGGCGCTTTAAAGAATGCAGGAGGCCGGATGTGGTGGCTCATGCCTGTAATTCCAGCACTTTGGGAGGCTGAGGCAGGTGGATCACTTGAAGTCAGGAATTTGAGACTAGCCTGGCCAACACGGTGAAACCTGTCTCTACTGAAAATACAAAAATCAGCTGAGCATGGTGGCGCACACCTTGTAGTCCTGCTACTTGGGAGGCTGAGGCCTGAGAACTGCTTGAACCCTGGAGGCGGAGGTTGTGTTGAGCCAAGATTGTGCCACTGCACTACCAGCCTGGGCAACAGAGTGAGACTCTGTCTCAAAAAAATAAATAAATAAAATAAAATAGAGAACGCTGGAAAACAGCAAAAGTGCAGGAAAACTAAAGACAAGCAACTGTGGTCCTGAGTTCCAAAAGAGGCAGGTGTTTCAACAAAATATAGACCAATACAATTGATTTTAATCCTGGACAAGGTTCTAGATGTAAATCATGATAATAGCCATACAACAAAAATCTTGCAGTCATTAAAAATCATGTTGTAAAAGCCTATTTCATGATAAGGAAGACTGTTCTCACTATAGCGAGTTGTAAAACTGATGGCAGAACAATATGTATGCTATTATCTTAATTTGGATTAAAAAAACTTGTAAATGTGCCTCTCACAAAACAAGGGTCCAAAGGTCCGAGGCCGTCCCTTTAATCCCTCTGCAGACTGGCTTTTCCTCTTTCTTTGTTCACAGGACGTCCGTCCACCAAGACTGGCTGGGCTTTCTCCAGTCTTGACCGAGCACCTAGGAGAGGGCAGCTGGCTGGCCTGGTTGACCTTTGATCTCCACTCCAGCCCAATCCGTTACAGGCACTTGGTGCAAACATGGGTGCTGGGCCCACCCCTGCGATTTGGGGGACAGTTCTCAGAGAAGATGAGGGGTCATGAGTTGGCCACGTACCCCCAAAGGTGACCACTATACAAAGCTGGCAACACGCATGAGAGAACAACAAAAATGACCCACACAAACCAGGTGTCTATTCACCAGGGGTCCAGGAGGAGATAGTTGGCACCCATAATTTACGTAATTTGAGGAGAGATTAATAAAGGGACTATTTACGAGTGTAGGGAGCCCCAGAGGATGGTGCAGAGTCCTGGAGCTGGTGACAGCAAGGCACCTCGGCTCCCTCGGCCTGAAGAGGTGAAGGAAGCAGCTCCCAGAGCCTGTAGGACCTGCCAGCAGTGGCCAGGGTACCCAGTAGCACTGAGGCCACCGCAGGGAGGGAACGGGGAGGACACATTCCCAACTTCTATTCTCCTCCTCCCTCGGTCCAGTGGCCCAGGGGTGCCATCCACTGGTCCAAGCCCACCAGAAGCCAGAGGTCAAGGTGCCCGTTGAGGCAGCTCATGAATCTGCAAACAGAAGGTATTCAGCACATCTAACGACCTTCAGCAGAATTTTGGTTTATAAAAAATGTAAGGGGTCTCAGATGTAGATTCTGTTCCACAGCCAGCCATTTTCAAGGAGCATCATTTTGGGACCACCATTTTCATGTCTCCAGAAATTAAATGGCTGATTAACATTCTTCTATGGGGTCATGACAATGAGCTGTTCTCTTATTTAGCAGTTGGGTCATTTCCAAGTTTCACCCTGACGTCTTTCGGTTTGGTAATGGTCTGCTGTAGAACACCACGTCCTCCCTTTCCCCACAGACTTGCCACTTGGCATTGTAATTGTCTGCTGTCTGTTTGTCTGCCTTCCTCCTAGACTGTCTTGCCCTTGAGTTCCTTTGTCTCTGTAGCCCAGCTCCTAACAATGCCTGGCACAGAATAGGCACTTAATAAATATTTGCGGAACATAAGAAAATGAACGAATAACAAGACAGCAAGTGAAGGCTGGATCCTGGCCCAAGGGCGTGAATTTCTCTCATCTTTGATGTACACCCCAGGGTGCCGATGAAAGTGCCAGAATGTGCCACCCTAGCTTGGTGTTGAGGCAGCAGGCTGCAAGTGAAAGAGGTCGGGCTTCACTCCTATACTTCCCAGGTTTTCAGAGCACGTTCCCTAATATCTCTGCCTCTCGGTTCCCTCTTTGCGTAACAGGGGCACGGGTTCTTACAGGTTTAGCCCCGTGTTTCTAATCCTCAAAGCTCTGTCGCTATTATTCTCTTCCCTTTTTCAGTAGCATTATTACCCAAGAATATGTTAGGCAATTGTGTTGAGATAGAAAAGGGAAAAATGCCAGAAAAGAAGGTCAAGCTAAGTGCTCTATTAAGAAAAGTGCAAGATTATAATGGAGAGAAACCAAAGGGCAGCGGCACCAGCAGGAGACAGGGAGCTGAAGCTGTGACCGAAGACTTCCAGAACCAAGACAAACGCACATCTCAGATTCACCTCGAATTCCTGCAGATTCTTTTTTTTTTTTTTTTCTGAGAGTCTTGCTCTGTTGCCCAGGCTGGAGTGCAGTGGCATGATCTTTGCTCACTGCAGCCTCCGCCTCCTGGGTTCAAGCAATTCTCCTGCCTCAGCCTACCGAGTAGCTGGGCTTACAGGCACCCGCCACCTCACCCGGCTAATTTTTGTATTTTTATTAGAAACGGTTTCACCATGTTGGCCAGAGTGATCTCGAACTCCTGACCTCATGATCTGCCCACCTCCGCCTCCCAAATTGTTGGGATTACAGGCGTGAGCCACTGTGCCTGGACGAATTCCTACAGATTTTTAATTGTTCAATATTTAACAAATGTGCTTCTTGGAAAAGTCTTGATGCACCTGACGAAATCTTATCCAGTGACAAGTTTTTATATTTCAAGCTGAATAATCATAATAAAACAAGTGAAACTGCTGCCAGCTTAAGATGAAGAGTTGGCGGGGCCTCACCAATTTTCACTGGTTCTGTGATAACAATTAGTAAATTATTGGAACCCCTGTTTCTTTTATATTTATTTATTTTTTATTTTTGGAGACAGGGTGTCACTCCAGTTGCCCAGGCTAGAGTGCAGTGGCGCAATCTCGGCTCACTGCAGCCTCGACCTCCCGGGCTCAGGTGATTCTCCCACCTCAGTCCCTATTTCTGTTAAACTTTTCTTTCTGTTAGTGTCTAGCTCCTTCATTCCCATTTCAAGTTGAATTTCAAACTCTCTGAGGGATAGTCAATTTCCAGTTGGCCCTTCCTGAAAGTAAGTTTAGGTGTTTCCTGGGCCCCTCCTCCCAGGCAGGTCCAGAATTCCAGGCTCTGGTCCTTCTAGCACTGGGAGGCTGCCGGAAGCTCTGTGTGGCCTCTTTGCAGCTGCCCTCTTCTTGGTTTCTTGGCCTCTCACCATTGTGTGCAGGAAGGACTTAGCCAATGCCTGGGAGCCTGGATGGTGGACAGACAACAGGCCGGCTTCCCTTGCCTCAGGGATCTTGGCCCTCAAGTCCTGGCAATGAAAGTTGACTTTCTTTCCTTTGCCTTTTATTTCCTACCATTTGGAGTTGGGAGTGGAAGTCAAGCAAGCCACATGTTTTCTTGCAGGAGAACAGTTTCCCCCTGGAGTCCTGTGTGCTGCCTCAGCCTTATGATTCCTATTCTTCAGCTCCACCAGCCTCAGCCACCCGTTCACATGGCTGACACTAGATTTTGTTATAACCAAGCCCTGTACTACCTCTGAAACCTCAATTCCCAGCATCCGCTGCCGCCGCCTTTTGTCCTCCTGGCTCACTCGCTCTGCACTCCCACGTCAACCATTCCCCCACCTGGATGAGGCTCTCCTCCCCAGCCCACATCTTCCCACTCCCCAGCATTCCCCGCTCTCACCTCCTGCCCCCTCAAACCCCAGTTTCATTCTGACTGCTGCTTTGCGAACCCCCTAACCTCCCTTGCTCATTTCTCCCTCTGACATATAGCCTCAATGATGATCGAGCCCAGCCATTTCTCACGCTACATTAGGTGCTGGACATGGCTGGAGAACCTTCCAAATCGGTTTCGAATGGGCACTCGACCGAGCCATGTTTCCCAGCTCTCAGTTGATGACTTCACCAAAGCTGACAGATAAAATATGTGCTATCAGGCTGGGTGCGGTGGCTCATACCTGTAGTCCCAACACTTTGGGAGGCTGAGGCGGGCAGATCACTTGAGGTCAGGAGTTCAAGACCAGCCTGGCCAACATGGTGGAACCTCGTCTCTATGAAAAATACAAAAATTAGCTGAGTGTGGTGGCTTGTGTCCATAGTCCCAGCTGCTTGGGAGGCTGAGGCAGGAGAATTGCTTCAACCTGGGTGGTGGAGGATGCAGTGAGCCAAGACTGCGCCACTGTAGCCACTGTACTCCAGCCTAGGTGACAGACCGAGACTCTATCTCAAAAAAAAAAAAAAAAAACAGGGCTTGCCATCTTCCGGACCTCAGTCCCACTGACATCCTACCTGTGTCACCAGGGAGCTCCTTCTCTCTCTGTCCTCTAAACATTGCGACCTCAACGTCCTGTTCTTGGGTTTCATCTCTGTCTATACCCCTTCCCTAGGTAATTGTTCAGGATTGAATAGTGTCCTTCCAAGGTTCCTGTCCACCACAACCTTATTTGGAAATAGGGTCTTTGTACATTTAAGCAGGTTAAGATGAGGTCATACTGGAGCAGGGTAGACCCTCATCCAATGACTGGTGTCTTCTTATAGGAGGGAGATTTGGACATAGATAGAGGTGAAAAGGCCATCTGATGACAGAGGCAGAGATGGAGTGATGCAACTGCAGGCTGAGGACTTCCAGTGATGCAAAAGATGGACCAGAAGTTGAAAGAGGCTGGGAAAGATTCTCTTCTAGAGCTTCCGGAGAGGGGGTGCTCCTGCTGACACCCAATGCTGGACTTCCAGCCTCCAGAATTTTGACAGCATAAGCAGCTGTTGCTTTACATCACCCAATTTGTGCACTCTGCTATGACAGTCACAAGAAACCAACACAGTAATCCTTTGACTTCTACCATCTCTGCACTGATGATACTGAAAATACATAACTTCACTGCTTTCCTTGTATCTGAGTTCCAGGCAGGACTACAAACCATTTGCTCAGCATCATCCTTTGGATATCAAAAGGCGCCTCAAACTTACCATGGCCCAAAGAGAACTACTGAATGCCCCTACATCTGCCCCCTGCAAGCCTTCTCCCTGCTCAGTAAATAAAACCCACGCAGTTTCTCAGGCAAAACTCATCATGTTCTCTCGTACTTTCGCTCTATCACCTTTTTATTTTTCTTTTTGAGACAGGGTCTCACTCTGTCACCCAGGCTGGAGTATAGTCCCCCAGTCACAGCTCACTGAAGACTTGACCTCCCATGCTCAAGCGATCCTTCCACCGCAGCCTTCCAAGTAGCTGGAACTGCAGGTGCACGGCACCAAACCCAGCTAATTGAGTTATTTTTTGTAGCGACGGGGTTTCACCATGTTGTCTAGGCTGGTCTTGAACTCCTGGACTCGAGTGATTCACTTGCCTTGGCCTCCGAAACTGCTGGGATTACAGGTGTGAGTCACCGTGCCCAGCCACTATATAAAGCTAGAACCTCAGTGCAGGTCCCCATCAGCCCTGGCCTGGACCATCGTCTCTCACCTGGACAACTTCCTGTGTCCCAGCTTCTGCTTGGACTCCTCACATACAGGGCATCCCACATGCAGCTGCTGCGGTGGCTGCTCTGCGGAGGAAATCGGAGTGGGCCTCTCCTGACCCCAGGGGTGAAAGGCATGTACTTGCCAAAGGACAGCGGCCCTGTACTGCTGCTTCCTGCTCTCCCCACTACCAGCCTGGCCTTCCCGCTGACTCTTGCCTGGGTTAAGCTGGTTCTGAGGGCCCATGTGGGAGACTATGCTCCTGTCCCACTGGGGGAAAAGAGACAAAGTGCAGCTCTCCTATTTAGATAAACTCCTGAGGCCAGGAGCGGTGGCTCATGCCTGTAATTCCAGCACTTTGGGAGGCTGAGGCGGACAGATCACCTGAAGTCAGGAGTTCAAGACCAGCGAGGTCAACATGGCGAAACCCCATCTCTACCAAAAATACAAAAATTAACCAGCCATGCTGGTGCATGCCTATGATCTCAGCTACTTGGGAGGCTGAGGCAGGAGAATCGCTTGAACCCAGGAGGCAGAGCTTGCAGCAAGATGAGATCAGGCCACTGCACTCCAGCCTGGGTGACAGAGCAAGGCTCTGTCTCAAAAAAAAAGAAAAAGAAAAAAGAAAAAATCTCCTGAAGAAGTGCTGCCAATGTGTCCCGGTGGCGAACATTCATCCAGCACCTCTTTGGACAGTAACAGCTATTCTCTTCACACTTTTATTTCTTTGTTTTTATTTTTAGAGACAGAATCTCTCTCTGTCACCCAGGCTGGAGTGGCCCCAGCATAGCTCACTGCAGCCTAAACCTTTGAGGTCAAGTAATCCTCCTTCCTCAGCTTCCTGAGTAGCTGGGACCATAGGTGCACGCTGCTATGTATGCCCGGCTTTATCGGAGTTTACAATTTACAGGTTGTTTTCACATCTATTGTTTTCTTTTGAATCCCAAAGCAGCATTTTGTGGTATGATTCTGTTATCTCCATTGGACAGATTAGGAAACTGAGGCTCAGAGGGTGGGAAGAGGCGAAGGCAGCTGTGGTTCACTAAACCCTTGCCATGCCGGCACATCAGACATCTCATTTCATTTGTTTTCACAGGAAGCCCTGTTGGTGTTTGTTCTGCTTCCAATGCCAGGTAGTTGCTGGCTCTGTTCTTGTCTCTCCAGTCTTTTCTGAGAGGCCCTTCCAGTGTGCCACAGCTAGAGCAACTCCTCTGCTCCACGCTTCCACACATCACCTCCATAGCCCTATCCCCATCTGACGGGCTCTGCATGTGTTTGCTTAAGTGAGTCTCACTCCTGCTACTGGAATGCTTCTTGAAGACAGCGGCTCAGCTGTGTTCCCTGCAGCACCTGCACCCGCTAGTCCAGGGCCTGGGCTCTGTTAGATAGAAGGTCCTCAACAATTTGTTTTTTCACCAGTGAACGAGCCTCAGAGCCCATTGTGAACAGACGCTGTGGATCTGGATTACCCCTTGAATATGCAGCTCCATTTGAGGAACCAAAAGGAAAAAAAACGATTTCCTTATACTGCGCTGCTTTCCCTGGAACTTAACTTCAAGAAGCAGTGCTTTGTCTAAGAATCTCCCAAACAAATGCAATAAAACCCCAGCCGCTGTGCACAGCCAAGGGCGTTCCTGCCATGCCTGGGGCCAGCTGTGCCCAAGCAGTCCAGCCACACCTTCTCCACCAGCATTGGGAATGGGTGTAGAACCCCAAAAGGAGAATACTTCCCTTGTGAACAGACCATCTCTTCTAGGCTGAGCAGGGTCATTATCTAGAATTTACAAGGTGCTGGCTGTTTACACAGTACTTTGTTCTATTTTACTAAGGTAGCAAGGTCTAGAGCAAACATTCACACGCAGATACAAAAGTTGAATCAGAAAACCCTGGATTTATTCCCAGGTTTGCTGCTGACTTAGGGGATTTTTCTAAAGGTCGTCTGACTTCTTGATGCCTGTAGAGTGAAGCTTGCCCTTGCTTTACTACACAGAGATGTTGCAAAACTAAACGAGATGTTGGTGAAATGTCTCAGACACGTGGAATAATAGGGTGGACTTTATTCCCCAGTGCATTGTCACCTAAGATGTCTGTTTCACTAAATCCACTGCGAGAAGAGGAAGCTAAAGCAACCATAATGGGCCTTCAGCCCTGGGGGGCCCTTGTCCCCTGGTAAGTCCAGGGCTTACCTGTGTATTCCTCAAGGTTTGTGGTAGAAAAATAGGGCCTCGGGACTGTCAGGATCTTGCTACCCACCCTAGCCACGCTGTTGGGGATTTTTCAAATCTGGAGGGAAGCCCCTACGTGTTCTCTGCTTCTGGCCAAGGCACTATGTCCCCATCCCAATTGTCCTTAGGTTTCTAGAAAACACAAAAGCCATAGGGGCTTGCTGGCTCTCCCATCCCTCCCCTGAAGCAAAAAGTAAAAAGAGAGATTGGCCGAGTGTGGTGGCTCACGCCTGTAATCCCAGCACTTTAGGAGGCTGACGGGGGCGGATCACAAGGTCAGGAGATCGAGACCATCCTGGCCAACATGGTGAAACCCCATCTCTACTAAAAATACAAAAATTAGCTGGGCGTGGTGGCACGTGCCTGTAATCCCAGCCACTCGGGAGACTGAGGCAGGGAGTCGGAGGTTGCAGTGAGCCAAGGTCGCGCCACTGCACTGTAGCCTGGCAACAGAGTGAGACTGCATCTCAAAAAAAAAAAAGAAAAAAAGAAAAAAAAAGAGATTTCTTGCTTGAAGTGGGAGAAAGGAAAGTGGGAACGAATGCTGTGGGTCCAAAAGATACTAATATATTGCAGTCTGAATCCCCAGGACCTCAGAATGTGACCTTATTTGGAAGCAGGGCCATTGCAGGTGTAATTAGTTAAGATGAGGTCATCCTGGAGTAGGTGAGCCCCTGATGCATAAGGGCCAGTGTCCTTATAAGAAGATGGCCTGGCCGGGCACAGTGGCACAGTGGCTCACGCCTGCAATCCCAGCACTTTGAGAGGCTGAGGCAGGAGGATTACTTGCTTCCAGGAGTTTGAGACCAGCCTGGACAACATCATCAGACCCATCTCTACTGAAAACAAAAAATTGGCTGGGCATGGTGGCGCACAACTGTAGTCCCAGCTACTGGGGAGGCTGAGGCAGGAGGATCCCTTAAGCCCAGGAGGTTGAGGCTGCAGTGAGCCGTGATCAGACACATGGAGGATCCCCATGTGAAGATGGAGGATTGGAACAACACATCTAAAGCCGAGGAACACGAGGGTTTGCAGCAACCACCAAGAGCCAGGAAGAATTTCCTGCAGGCTTCAGAGGGAGCACGGCCCTGCAGGGAAGCTAATGTAGACAGGCATTGAAAAGCACAGATTATGCCTCAAAATATTTCCCCTCATCTCCACAAATCACGAGAAAAAAATCAAAAATTACTGAAGTTACTTGTTAGTTGGTTAGCAGAGGGACAGTAGATTTGGACTTTTTTTTTTTTTAGGCCAAATTTAGCAGTGGGGGTCTATATACCAATTTTAGTGACACTAATGTTAATAAGTTCCGATAACTCAACACCATCGGGCCAGCTGATTCCGACTCTGAAGAAGAGGTAAAGGATGAGTACAGGCCATCAGGGAAGAAATGAGGACAGCTTTTCAGGGGATGAGTACAGGCCATCAGGGAAGAAATGAGGACAGCTTTTTGGGACCACAGCAGGGGTATGTTTGAGGGAGTTGCAGAAATGAGGCTGGACAGGCAGCATGAAATGTTGAATGCCGAAGGTCTTTAAAATGATTGATTGGTTTTATTCATGGGAAACTAATTTAAGTTTTAAAGCCGGGAATTACTATAGCAAATGCAGTTATTTAACAAAATGTAGGAAAAAACAAAACAAAACAAAAAAGGGCTCTGAATCAGAACCAGGTCCAAATGCTGATTTCCCCACTCACTAGCTGTGTGACTTAAATTAGTTTACCTCTTTGGGAATTCAGCTTTCTCAAGCCCTAAAAAGAGATACTGGGGGAATTCTGGGGAGATGCACAGAGGTGGTAGCAGCAGAGTCTTTGGATTTACTCAAATCCCCAGGTAAAAACATACAGAACAACTAAGTAGGAAAAGCAAACACCCATACACAGCATTTACAAAATAATTAGGTGTCGAGTGTCCCCATCAACCCCCAAATACATGCAGGTGGGACCAATCGCTAATGCCATAAGACCTGAACAGTGTTGGCACCTGCGTGGGAGATGCAGGGGAGTAATGGGGCACCTAACAGAACAATAGGCAGAACCTGGCTGGGCTGGTTGGTTTGAGGACTTAGGATGGTGACTGAAACTGGGAGGGGCTTTGTCTATTCCAATAGAGAATAGGAGGCTTCTGCTGCAAACCCTTCAAGGGCAGGATCGGTCCAACCTTCTAAACTCTTGAAACTGTCCCACAAGGGCCCCTGCCTGGATAAGGCCCCACACTAAGGAGAAATGTCTTGGAATAAAATCAGGATTGAGCGGAAGAGGGAGAACAGAAGTGAAGAAAAGAGAACGTCCAGATAAAAGCAAGGAAACCATGCCAGTAAACCCCGACAAGCAAGCTGCTACATGAAAACCACAGAAGGTTCTCCATTAAGTTAAAAAGAAAGAAGAAGCTATTCGAACCAAGCCTTCTTATAAAAGTCAGGAAAACCAACTTCATATAAAAAGTAGCAGCAGAAAAATATCAAGATCAAATCTCATATAAAGGTACTATTTAGAAAAAGAACAAGAGTAGAATAACATCCTTACAAACCGTGAGGGTGCACTGGAGGACATGCTCACTGGGCAGATCAAAGCTGTAATATTGCATCTCCATTGCTGCATAAGAAATTGCCACAAACTTCATACATTTATTATCGTGTAGTTTCTGTGGGTCAGGAGCCCAGGCACAGGTTAGCTGGGTTCTCTGCTCAGGGTCTCACAAGGCTGAGGCTGCAATTTCACTGGGGCTCAGGGGCCTTTTCCAAGCTCACTGGTTATTGGAAGGATTCAGTTTGTTGTGATTATAGAACTAAGACTTTTAGCTTCTAGAGGCTGCCCACTAGTTCCTGCCACATAGCCCCTTCATGGCCCAGCAGTTGACTTCTTCAAGGCCAACAGGAGAGTGTCTCTGCTGCTTTGAATCTCTCTGACTTCTCTGTCTCTGACCTCTAGGCTCTCATTAAAAGAAGTCATATGATTAGGTCAGTCCCACTCTGACCATCTTGATTAACTTAAAGCCAGCTGATTAAGAGTCTTAATTACATCTGCAAGCTCCCCTCATTTTTGCCATATAATGTAACCTAATTCTGACAATAATACTCTTTCATATTCAATAGGTCCTGCCCATGCTCAAGGGAAAGGAATTATGCATGGCAGATACACAGGCGGGGGCTATATTAGAATGTATTGAAAAAAGCTAAAAGCATTAAGAAAATGACATAGATGCAAAAGAACAACATAAATTACAATTAGAAAGTGAGTTGACAGAAGTGAGTTGACAGATATAAAAAAGAACTAGAAAGAACCATCTTAGAAATGAAGATTAAACTAGAAGAAACACAAGAAAAAAATGCAACCGATAATGAGAAGGAAAATAGAAGGGAAATTTAAAAATCCAAAAAGGACAAATAAAACAGTAGGAAGATTCAAGAGTGTGACAAATAGTGAAGATAGACAAAGAAGACCCAACACATGAATAACAAGAGTCCCTGAAGAAGAAAACCAAAGCAAGGGGTCAGAACAAATACTAAAAACTATAGTTCAAAAAACTAGTTAAGAAAACTAAAGAAAGCATTTCTGAAATAACAAAGATTTAAAACTCTATATTGAAAGAGAACACCTGAAAATATTGACCCATACAAATCAACACCAAAACATATTCTAGTAAAATTACAGGACTTTAAAAAAAAGAAAAAATAAACTTTGAGTATCTAGATAAAAGAGAGAAACTGACTTCCAAAGAATACTAGGTTATCATAAGACTTTTCAACAACAATACTTTATGCTGCAAGAGTAACAAATTTGAGTTATTCAAAGAAAGAAGATGGGAACCTGATATGGTTTGGCTCTGTGTCCCCACCCAAATCTCATCTCGAGTTGTAATCCCTATAATCCTCATATGACGAGGGAGGAACCACGTGGGAGGTGGTTGGATCATGGGGGCAGTTTCCCCCATGCTGTTCTCGTGATAGTGAGTGAGTTCTCATGAGATCTGGGGGTTTTATAAGGCAGTTTTCCCTGCTCTTGCTTACTCTCTCTCACCTGCCACCATATAAGATGTGCCTCTTTCCCTTCCACCATGATTATAAGTTTCCTGAGGCCTTTCAGCCATGTGGAACTGTGAGTTAATTAAACCTCTTTTCTTTATTAATTTATAGGAGTTTTCACACTGCTATAAAGACACACCCAAGAATGGGTAAATGGACTAATACAGAACCTAAGATTTTATATCAAGCAAAAACCTTTTTAAGTATAAAGAGCACACATCATTATTAGCATGGAAGAACTCAGAAAATACTGTTTCTTTGACTTCTTTTGAAGGAATCTACTAGAAAATAAGTTTCAGACAACTAAATTTCTGCAAATGTCAACAGAAGGACTGGTGATGAGAAGTATGTAGTTACTTGTAAAACCAAGATGAGTGAGGAGTTAAAAGAAGAGATTGTAAAATGTGATACCTATATAATCTGATGATTATGACAAATAAAGAATGAAGATAACATATATAAACAACACTTTAAGTGTTTTAATAATGATAATGTGGTAGTATTAGTATTGTTCTGGGAATATAGTGTGTGGGGTAAAGCAAATATATAATTATGAGATATTTTAATTCTATTATCCCACATATCTTTGAGAAGTAGGATTCTCAGTGTGGGGGAAAGAAGATACAGGTGGAATATAGAAATGGTTAAGTAAAAACCTTGTTTTTTCTCAATCTGAATATAAAAATCTGCTATTAACTCAAGATATACAGATTGAGATATCACATCTATCTATCTATCATCTATCTATCTATCTTCTACCTGCCTATTTATCTATCTATCTATCTATCTATCTATCTATCTCTAGATCCTATTAGGTCTGTCTCTCAAGAGGACCCTGGTGGATACAGGCATACTGATTTTTATTAACCTAATTAATTCCACTTTATTAATTTAGAGGGGTGGGTAAAGGCATCTATAAAGCACCATCAGTGCTGGGCTTCACCCCATCTTGGGATGACTTTCCAAATATTATGGGGATTAGTTGGCCCAGTAAAAGGTTAAACTTGAATTTTTCTGCATCGGAGTTTAGGTTTTGACATAGATTTGCTGATGTCAGTCTTCATGCCCATGTGACTCTTACTGGCTGAATTTGAGACAAGAAAATAAGACAGCGGAAGTTTCCAGTAGCCCAATCCTTGAATACAGTGTCTAGGTTGAGAGATAGGGCCATAACTGCCTATGTGATTAATTTTTAAGAACTTGGAGAACACTTAACTTTAAAAAGAACAACAACATCTTCACCTACTTATGTGGCTAGTGCCTAACTCCAGCTTAGAATTCTTCAAAGGTTTGATTCTTGTTAACAGTTTTACTCATCATTTTAGTGTGAAATATAGTTTCCTTACTGGCCTCAGAATAGCCAAGATACAGTCTTCCATCCTGGGCTAAACAGCCTGGTGCTCTTCCTTCAACTTGCAGTCCCTACAACACTGTGATTAGAAGGCATTTCAGGACAGTAGAGCAAAGGGCCAGGAATTGCTGTCTGTTGGTGAGTGTGACCACAAAGCAACTGAAAACTGGGAGGTAGAAGGCCAGAAGTGGGAAAATGATGCACTGTGGGGTTTTTATTTTATTTAATTAACTAATTACTTAATTAATTTTGAGACAGGGTCTCACTCTGTCACCCAGACTGGAGTGCAGTGGCACAATCTCAGCTCACTGTAACCTCCGCCTCCCAGGGGCAAGGGATTCTCCTGCCTCAGCCTCCCGAGTAGCTGGGATTACAGGTGCACACCACTACCGCCCAGCTAATTTTTGTATTTTTTAGTAGATACAGGGTTTCACCATGTTGGCCAGGCTGGTCCTGAACTCCTGACCTCAAAGGATCCACCTGCCTTGGCCTCCCACAGTGCTGGGATTACAGGCATGAGCCACCGTGCCTGGCCTAGTTTTTATTTTTTATCATAATTACACAAATATAGTCAAGTTGGTTGAAAAGTCAAATTGAAGAGATAAACACTGGACAAAGACTTCTTATTAAGACAAATAAACAAAAAGCTGTTTACTCCTAACTCCCTCTAAGAGCAACTACTTTAAAAACATTTTTCAAATGTGTTCTTTAGATATATACCTCCATATCACATATCTCTATGGGCTTTTCAAGGTTAAGTGGCGCTACATTTTATAACTTATCCAATTTCCAATGCTTGATATTCAATGATTTTTGAAAGAGAGAAGAACCCAGTGCCATAGCTTTGAAAGCTCTAAATATTGAGCCAAGAAATCTCCTATTGGCAAAGTACTCAACAAATACCCAGATGATGGCAGTTCATTACTCAGTGTTTTCATGGCGGGTTTATTTGTTCATTTTCTGTTGCTATAACAGAATACCTGAGGCTAGGTAATTTATTTTTAAGAAGAGATTTATTTGGCCCACAATTCTGGAGGCTGGGAAGTCCAAGATGCATGCCGCTGGTGCTGCTCAGCTTCTGGTGCTGCTTCACCTCGTGGCAGAAAAGCAGAAAGGCAAATGGATGTGTGCAAAAGGAATGAAACATGAGGACAAGCCTCACTTTATAAAAATCCCACGCTCAGAGTAACTCATCCAGTCCTGTGAGAGCAAGAATTAACTCAACAAAGACACTAGACACAGCATTAATCTATTCATGACGAATCTACCCTCTTAAAGGTCCCACTAGCTCTCAACACTGGCAACTACATGAGTTTTAGGCAGGGACAAACCACAGCCAAACCACAGCAGCAGGTTTGAAGGGCAGAGCTGAAATACTAGAGTCAACGTCCAGGAAATATGTATTTTATTTTATTTTATTATTTTATTTTATTTTATTTTATTTTATTTTATTTTATTTTATTTTATTTTATATTTTATTTATTTTATTTTTGAGACAGAGTCTTACTCTGTCACCCAGGCTGGAGTGCAATGGCATGATCTCCACTTACTGCAACCTCTGTCTCCCAAGTTCAAGCGATTCTTGTGCCTCAGCCTCCCAAGTGGCTGGGATTACAAGTGTGTACCACCACACCTGGCTAAAATTTTTGTATTTTTAAGTAGAGGAAGGGTTTCACTATGTTGGCCAGGCTGGTCGCAAACCCCTGACCTCAGGTGATCTGCCTACCTTGGTCTCTCAAAGTGCTGGGATTATAGGCGTGAGCCACCGCATCTGGCCAGGAAAGTGTATTTTAAATTCTTTCTTAAGATGTTGCCTTTTGTGGACTTAAAATACTCTCTGTTGGAGCATTTGTAGTGTTTGGCATGAGAATATCCCCGTAAGACATTCTTTGAACTACTACTGCTGAGCAAAAAGACGGCATGGAGCACAGGGCAAAGGGCCCACCCCAAAGGTGTCTTTTATTCCTCTGACATCGATTCTTCACCTTGAAGGTTAAGATTTATGAAAAGTCAAACCCTTCTAGGAGGAAGTATGGTGGTTCCCACAGAGCTGATAACGACCTTCCAGGATCCTTTCTCCAGATCCATTTTAATGGAAGAGAAGAGTCTACATTCCTGCCAGGAAGTCTATTTCATCTCCCTGTGCCCCCAAGATTTCCTAGTCTCTCCTTCCCTCCCAGTCCCACTTTGGAAGGGATTGGGTACACAGTGGTAGCCTACGAAAGCTGTTTAATGACAGCAGCCAGTGTTACCTTCTCAACCACAGTATTATATAAAAAAATATACGATTTATTTATTTATTTATTTATTTATTTATTTATTTAGAGACAGGGTCTCACTCCGACATCCAGGCTGGAGTGCAGTGGCACAGTGTCAGCTCACTGCAGCCTCCGCCTCTCAGGTTCAAGCAATTCTCTTGTCTCAGCCTCCCAAGTAGTTGGGATTACAGACGTGTGCCACCATGCCCGGCTAATTTTTGTGTTTTTATTAGAGACAGGGTTTTGCCATGGTGGCCAGGCTGGTCTCAAACTCCTGACCTCAAGTGATTTGCCTACCTCGGCTTCCCAAGGTACAAGGATTACAGACGTGAGCCACCACCCCTGGCCTAAATTATACATATAATTTTAAATTGTAAGGACACTATTAGATAGTTATATAAATTATACAAAACACCGTCATGATTTCAAATGTCACAGTGAAGCCCCGGCTGCACAGTTCTTTGGGGTTTCGTTGGCCCGATGCTTCCCCCTCCCCACTTCACATCTTTTCGTGGCCCCACTTGGTAATTTGGTTGCCCTACTAAAGAAAGTCTCCTCTCCTTACACACTCTTCCTCCGAGCCATAATGCGTTTTCTCTTAGATTTAGCCTTCTGGAGAAACTTTAAAGGTACACATTCAAAACTTTAGGAGTCCTCCGGGAGTGATATGGTTCACTTCTCTTCACTTTAGAGGATACTTCGGGAAGAATGGAGATTTTACAGCCTTAAGTCTCCTCGCCCGAGAATGAGACTGCCTCTCCGTTTATTCCAGTTTTCTTCGAGTCTCATGCTGAAGTTTTTGTTACTTTCTTCATCTAGGAGCTGCATGTTGCTCGCTTATGCCTTGATTTCATGAATCACATATTTCTTCCCTTTAACTTTCTAGCTGGTTATTGTTATTACAGTTTTAAAAAGCAAAAGTTTTGTGTATTTATTTTCCAGCCAGTCACTTTATAGAATTACCTTACTGGTTATAAGAGTTTTTCAGTCGATTTTAATTTGTTTACTGGGTAGGTGATTATATTATCAAATAGAAAATCTTGACTCCTTTTTAATACTTATGATTCCTGGTTTATCCAGAACTTAATGAGAATACCTCTCTTGCTTCAATGACTCTGTTGGGTATTTTTTATTACATTATGGAAATAACATTTGATTACTGTTTTACCATGGATTTGTTTAATTCAGGGAAGAATGCCGGTTTGGTTCAGATGAAGGTTCTGTATGAAGCCAGGTTGCACCAAGCATGCAGAACGTGGAATGCTGTGCCTTAGGAAGACAAATCTGATATCCGTGTGTGAGGGGGCCTGAAGGCTGAGATCAGAGATGGAGAAACCAGGCAGGTGGAGCCTCAAAGGAGAAGTTAATGGACAGCTACACAAATAAGAATTCTAAGGAAAAAAAAGGCTGGGTGCGGTGGCTCACACCTATAATCCCAGCACTTTGGGAGCCTGAGGCGAGTGGATCACCTGAGGTCAAGGGTTCGAGACCAGCCTGGCCAACATGGCAAAATCTCGTCCCTACTAAAAATACAAAAATTAGCTGGGCAGGGTGGTGGGCACCTGTAGTCCCAGCTACTTGGGAGGCTGAGGCAAGAGAATCGCTTGAACCTGGGAGGTGGAAGTTGCAGTGAGCCAAGATCCACCCTGGGTGACAGAGCCAGACCCCGTCTCAAAAACAAAACAAAACAAAACAAACAAAAACAAACAAACAAACAAAAAACCAGCAACAGAGGAGAAGGAAGAGACACCAAATGAAAGAAAGAAATAGAAGGAGCATTTCCTAAACTGGAGGAAGACTTTACCTTCAACTAGAAAGGAAATACTAAGTGCCAGTTTTAAAAAAATAATAAAGGAAATCTCATCCAGACTTATCCTGATGAAAGTTTTTAATGTTAAGGATAAAGGAAGCTAATACATGTATTAATGAAAAAAAATTTGTCTACAAAGGGAAAAAGTTAGATATACATTAGACTTTTCTACAACACGAAAGGCCAGGTGGAGCAACAGCTACGGAATTTTAGGTCAACAGATTGTGATTTCCGTAATCTACGTCCAACCAAGTTACTCAGTTGCAAGTGCAGCCAAAAGACACTCTCAGATCTACGAGGACTCATAAATATCTATTCCTGAAAAAGTGCTCTACCAAAAACTCCAGGTATCACTGTGTTTATAACTGAACATTTATACAATTTTAATGTATTTTATGTAAGTAATTGTGTGCATGTAATAGAAGTTTTGACTGTACATAAAGTATAAAATGAAAAGTAAAAATCTTTCTCCCTATAATATATTGATAGTCTCCCTCTCTCAGAGTTAGCCCATTTTAACAACTTTTGTTTCTGTTCTTCCAGTGATTACTATTTAAAAAAAATTGTCTTTCTTTCATTTATTTTTCCAAGTTGTATTTTAAGTTCAGGGGTACATGTATAGGATGCGCAGGTTTGTTACATAGGTAAAGGTGTGCCATGGTGATTTGCTGCACAAACCATCCCGTCACCTACGTATTAAGCCCAACAGTCATTAGCTATTCTTCTCGATGCCCTTCCTCCTCTTAGCCCCAGCCCTCCAACAGGCCCCAGTGTGTGTTATTCCCCCTCCACCTTGTGTCCATGTGTTCTCATCATTCAGCTCCCACTTATAAGTGAGAACATGTGATATTTGGTTTTCTCTTCCTGTGTTAGTTTGCTTAGGATAATGACTTCCAGCTCCATCCATGTCCCTGCAAAGGACATGATCTCATTCCTTTTTATGGCTGCATAGTACTCCATGGTGTATATGTACTACATTTTCTTTATCCAGTCTATCACCGAAGGGCCTTCAGGTTGGTTCCATGCCTTTGCTATTGTGAATAGTGCTGCAATGAACATATACGTGCATGTATCTTTATAATAGAATGATTTATATTCCCTTGGACATATACCCAGTAATGGGATTGCTGGGTTTGCTAGCATTCCTATACACTAACAAGTCAAGCAGAGAGCCAAATCATGAATGAACTCCCATTCACAATTACCACAAACAGAACAAAACACCTAAGAATACAGCTAACAAGGAAAGTGAAGGATCTCTTCAAAAGGAATTACAAACCACTGCTCAAAGAAATCAGAGATGACACAAACAAATGGAAAAACATTCCATGCTCATGGTTAAGAAGAATCTATATTGTGAAAATGGCCATACTGCCCAAAGCAATTTATAGATTCAATGCTGTTCCCATTAAACTACAATTGTCATTCTTCACAGAATTAGAAAAAACTGTTTTAACATTCATATGGAACCAAAAAAGAGCCCAAATAGCCAAGATAATTCTAAGCAAAAAGAACAAAGCTGGAGGCATCATACTACCCAACTTCAAACTATACTACAAGCCTACAGTAACCAAAACAGCATGGTACTGGTACAAGAACAGACACATAGACCAATGGAACAGAATAGAGAATGCAGAAATAAGACCACACACTTAAAACCATCAGATCTTCAACAAACCAGTGGTTACATTCTAACTATAAATGTGTGCTAACCCTGTTTTTCTATTAATTTTTAGACAGTATTATTGCCAGAAATGGGTTTTATCTCTCTTCCCTCCTCTTTCTCATCTGCCAAGTTTTTTAAATTATATTTTTGCTTTTGGCTCATCCATTAATTGCATCTATAATTTTAAAAATATAAAAGAAACCAAAACATCTATTCTCGATCCATGAACTAGATAGTTAAGTTGCAGGACTGATCACTTCCCACTTCTCTCTACCTCTTCTCACCTTCCTGTGTCTTTCAGCCTCACTAATCCTTTTACAGTTAAGATTTATAGCTTCTATATCCTGTTCTATAACTTTAAAATATTTTTCTACAGGTTAATTCTAAATATTGAAAACCACTTTTATTGGTTCAGTTGCAGTTAATAGGAACCATGGTGGCTATTTTAAACCAAAAGAGATTTACTAGAAGGAACTAGATGCTTTCAAATGTTTTCAAAGGGCTGGCAGACAAGGCTCTAGGTAGGACTTTCAGGAACGACTCCCACAAGTGTCCAGCCAGGGCAGCTGCCATCTCTGCCCCAACAGGAAAGTTGAGACGTGCTGTGGGTTCCAGGAAGCCAGTTCGAGTGTGACACAAGGTCAAGAAGCTGCCCCTCATGCTTTTATAGGCTCCTGAACCATGCTCCAAGAGCAACATCCACCTCAGAAAAAAAACAGAAGCCTGATGCCCTGTCTCTGGGCATCATGGTGCTGTTAACGCTGCCGCAGAAAAAACAGCAGACAACCCAGTGCCTTGGTGACCACGCTTGTTAGCAAAAAGAGCAGACAAAAAGAGAGCGGACAAGCTCACATTCGCCCCACTTCCACCTTCCGTGAAGCACATCTGGTGGCCAAACATAAATCACAAATGCAACTCCACTGGGAGGGAGTCTGAAACCATGGGTTTTGCTTCTTAGCCTCTGCAAAAGAGGGAGGAGCACTAAGAAGACAGTGGACCTCCTCTGAGGGCCATTCTATCCATCCCATCCGCCACGCCAGGTATCTGCAATGAAGCCAGGGTGCACCACTGGACCCACCAGTGAGAGAACAGACACGCCTGCTGCTGCTATGCCCAGAGCTGACGCCAGTGGATTCTCTCTTCTTATGCCTTTAATTGCTCCAAGTCGTTCTGCATTTAAGTTTGCTTCTCAGTAGATCACCGGTTTCTTATAGATTTTTATTCTCCTGGAGTTCCAATTGACTTTTTGTGTGTGTGTGTTTGACAAAATAATACTTTGCACCTGATCACTACGTCATTTGGCTTTGTAATCATCTGTCATCTGCCTACCCAATGCATTCATCTTGAAGTACTCTGAGTTTCTGCTCTAACTGGCATCATCGAAGCAATATTTTTTTTATTTGTTTTTGTTTTTGTTTTGAGACGGAGTCTCGCTCTGTTGCCCAGTCTGGAGTGCAGTGGTGTGATCTCAGTTCACTGCAACCTCCGCCTCCTGGGTTCAAGCAATTCTTGTGCCTCAGCCTCCCAAGTAGCTGGGATTACAGGTGTGCACCACCATGCCAGGCTAGTTTTTGTGTTTTTAGTAGAGACAGGGTTTCACCATATTGGCCAGGATGGTCTCGAACTCCTGACCTCAGGTGATCTGCCCACCTCGGCCTCCCAAAGTGCTGGGATTACAGGCGTGAGCCACTGCACCTGGCTAATAATATTTTTAACTTCTAAGAACTTCTCTCTGATTGCTACTTTTTACAACTTCTTGTTTTATGGACTAACACCTTGAATCTCTCCCATAATACCAGTTAGAAATAAAAAGTCTTTTATTTCCTAATGATCATGGTTTTCTCATGGGTTCGATGTTTTATTGGTTCATATTGATTCATGCCTTCTTCTATGCCGTTGGTTTTTCTCAAGTACCTGGTAAACCTTGTTGTCTGTTTATATTTTTAAAAACTAGGCTGATTGACAGCAATGGCTGGCACGGGTCTCCTCTGCTGATTGACAGCAATGGCTGACACGGGTCTCCTCTGCTGATTGACAGCAATGGCTGGCGCGGGTCTCCTCTGCAGTCTGGGCTTGCTTTCCCACTTGCCATCTCTCTAGAGGGAGCCCCTTACATGGGTGGTGTGTGCCAAATGGCAGGATTCCCACAGGGCCCCGGGTCAGGGTGGCAGGCTGCCCCTGCCCCCAGCAGCCATCGGTGACCCAACCCTATCCTTTCAGCACTCCCCTCTGCACACCCAAGGCTGCTGGCTTAGGTCAGTGTCCTAGTTTCCCATGGCTGTCATAACATCTAGGGGTGGGTGACTTTGTCCCATGCCTTTCTTTTAGTTTCTGGTGTTGCCAGCAGTCCTTGGCTATGAGTGCACATGGCTCAGATCTCTGCCTCCATCATTATACGGCCTCTCTCAGTGTGTCTTTGTCTATGTCTCATCTCTTCTTGTAAAGACATCAATCCCAGTGGGTGAAGACCCACCCTAATGGAGTCTGGCATCATCTTACCTTAAATGCAACTCCAAAGACCCTATTTCTAAATTAGGACACATCCCCAGGTCTTGGGGGTTAGGACTTCCACATGTCTTTCTGGGGGACACAATTCAACCCACAGCAGCCGGGTTCCTGGAGGTGGATCCTGAGACAGCGTGCACATGCAGCTGGCTCACTCAGGAAAAACCTCCAAGGGAGCGAGGGGAGCAGGAGGGGCGGGTGCTGCCTCAGGCAACATCTAATCTGGACCAGATCCTGGGAGGGAGGGTGGTCTGCAGAGCTGTCCAGCCTCAAGCTGAGGCCTGGGCTTGTGTATCCCTGTGTCCACCAGTCCTGCCCTAGGTGGAGGAGTATAATTTCCTCAGCAGGGTGGCTCTTGTAGGCTGAGCACACGTCTCTGGAGAAGATCTCAGGCGTACGGCCATTGGCCACACACTCCAAGCAGCACAAGTGAGGAAAAGGGCAGTCTCCTCTCTGGAACTCCTATCACAGTGCTCATTCTACCCCCCCGTCTCTAAGCTCTGTTTTCTATTTGATCTCTTTTTATTTTTCTAGTCATTCTAAGTTCTTCAGCTGATAATCCCATATGTATGTGTTGGAGGGTGTGTGTGTGTGTGAGTGTGTGTGTGTGTGTGAGTGTGTGGGTGTGTGTGGGGTGAGAGTGAGTGTGAACCACCGTGCCTGGCCAATATTTAAACATTTTAAGACTTTATATGATAAGATGCATTTCAGAAACATTATACTAATTGGCACTCCCACCAGCAGAGTATAAGAGTATTTAAATGACTGCACAATTTTTTAGTTATCCTGTTATTTTTTCTTAAACTGATGCAAATCTGTTTTGGAAACCAGATAACATAATATAAGTGTATGTATATAAACATACACAGACCTATACATCTATTTGTATATATACATATGTGTATACACACATATACAGATAAAAATCTTTCTCCAAATAATCTTAATGATCTGGGCACCAATATGAATGCAAAAGGCCTTTATTGCCTCTTCTACAGAATAGTGATAAGGAAACTAATTACAAAGGACAGAAGAGTGAAGTCTGGATACCGTTCTCATCACGTAATCCACGTGAACATCAGAAACGGGACATATCACCGTTGTGCCCCGCCCGTTAGGATGCAATGACAAAAACCACAGCATCAAACAGACTCTTCTACTGTCCCCATAAACTACTGAGGTTTCCTAGAAAGTCAAATGTCTCAGCCTCGAATCTACCATCAAACAGTTCAGTAAGAAAAAAAGTGTTATTTGCATAGTACTTGCAACTTTTCTATAAGCTTGACATTGTTTCAAAATAAAACGAAAAATATAGGGTCAGAGGCACAGTGGGGGAGGAAGGGAGGGCGTCGTCACCCCTGAACGTCGTCAAAGGCCCTGCTCTTGGTTCCAGGCTGTGCTGTCGTCTTCAACTGTTATTAATTTTCAAAGGGGCGCTGTGGGTTCATTTTGCAGGGGCCCCACGGATTATGTGACCAGTGCCGGTAGCGGCTCCCCTGTTGCTAACCTCTGGCTTTCCTTTGCTTGGCGCACATTTCTTTGTTGTGTACGTGTGGGTGAGCATTTCTGAATCCTGACGCTGGGACCTCTCCCTTCCAGATCTGCATGAGTCTGCCATGCTGGAGGACGGAAGACGGCTGCTCTCTCAGATTCTTCTCCAAGCTCAACAAGGCCTCGTGGTTGGCCTCGGGAATAAGCAGAGCTTAGATTGGCCCATGTGCGAAATATTTGGCCAGGGGTAGTCCTGCCACTGGCTCCACGGATCTATCTTGGTTCAAGATGCTCCCTTGATGAATATGCAGATTATGTAAATTCTTCTCTTTTTTTCAGCAGCTTAACCACTAGGTTGGAACGACGGCCAAGTTCAGTTTTTCCTCTGTTCATCAGTCAGTTCTTCTACCTCAATGCATGACATTTCTTTAGTGTTCAAGCCCTTCTTCTTTGTTCGGCTGAAGGAAGAATAACCATAATGGTGGTTAGGAGCAGGGGTTAAATCCAGTTCTGCCACCCACAAACTACGTGGGTTGAGCAAGTTACTTAACTTTTCTGTACCTCAGTGTTGTCATCTGTAAAATGGGTTTAATGATAACACCAGCCCTTCCCCAGCTTTAAATCTTTCTCTGACTCCCCGCTACCCACCTGACAAAACCCAGATCCTTGATGAGGAGTGACAGGACCTCCCTCCCACCCTCTTGGGGCATCCAGAGCCCCTCCTGTCTCCTTCTGTGCTAGACGCTTTCTCACACTTGGCCTCATTTATTTCTGGCCACGGATTTGCAAGGGGGCATTATCTTCTCTATTTTACAGGTGAGGAACTGGAGCTTCGGTGGCTGACAAACTTGCCCCACATGTCACTGGCCGGTGGGAGAGCTGAAGTCAACCCAGGACCTCAATGTCCTTCCTCTTCAGCACGTGCCCTGCCGTCCCCATGTGCTCCAGCCCAAGCCAGATTTTCTGCGATTTCCAGAACATTCTGTTCTCTTTCATTCCTCAGTTTGTCTATCTACTGCTCTCCTCCCCAGTGCCTTCAGAAAGGGATGAGTACATACATTTGGCAAAAGTGGGGTGGGTGTGGGCACGAGGGAACAGACAGTAGACAGGAGGGTGGGAGCCCTGGAGTAATAGACGCAGTATTTTGGAGAGGGTTTTTGAGCAGGGTGGGAATGTGTCCCCGAGCCCTCCCTTTCCTGAAGGTGGAGTTCTGGCTTTCTACATGGGATTCCGAGAACGAAGCTTGTGGTTTCAGCATTTCAGACTGAGGTTGAAAAGTGCACAGAGCGCGTCTGCCTCTGATGGAGTTAAAAGCAGCTTCGTCTGGAGTGCAGCGGTCGTCATGGCGATGCATAATTACCAGGGTTTCACTGGAATTGGGAGTCACTGCCCAATCATTGACGATTGATCCGCACACTTTTCCTTTCTTCCCCTGCAAGAGATTTCCCTGGAAGGCAGGCATAGCCACGAGAAGGCACTTCAGGCCTACGTGATTCCTAGCGCTCAATGTGAATCACTTTCTTTTCTTGACTGGGGCCAAGGGAAGATATTTTGTTGCCACAGGCAGCTTATGACAGGGACCTAATGATTTGCGGTATTCCCTGGATGTCCCTGGAGCTCCATTTCAAACCCCAGTGCACCAGGAGTCCTGTTTCACCTGCCAATTTCCTGAACCCACCTTGCACTTGGCTTCTCCAGGACTTGCCCCTTCCTCTCCCTGAGAGTAGAGCCCTGAAGAAGCAGTGCCTAAGATTTCACAAGTCTCACCCTAGCAGTTATCCCAACCGTTATTATGATTTCACTGAACCTCACCCGTCCTTCAAGGCTCAGCTCAAGCTTCCTTGGTGAAGCACTCTCAGTGGGGAATGCACGCCTTCTGGCTTCCTCCACAATGCCCCACAGCTCTTGGCCTGTGTCACATTCATTCATTCATTCATTCATTCACTCACTCAACATCGATTGACCACCTACTAAGTGCCAGGCAACTGTACTGGGTTCTGGAGCCTGGACAAAACAGACAAACGTCTCTGTCCTCATGGGGCTTAAAACCTTGTGTGGAGCAGACAGTAGTCATGGTATATAGGTAAGGTAGGTAGTGCATTAGAAGGTGACACGTGCCAAGGAGAAAAATAAGCAAAGGCGAGGTAGGAAGTGTCAGGAAAGGGGGTTTCCATTATTTATGCATCTATTTTTTGAACACCACGAATCTGTGTGTCATCCTTGCACAGAAGCTGTGCTCATCTTCTCCGTATTGTTCCAATTGTAGTGTATGTGCGGCCACACAGAGTACTGGGATTTCCATTTTAAAGTGGGGTCCAGGAAGGATTCACAGAGAAGAGACCTGTGAGTGGAGAACTACAGGGAAGGAGAAGGTGAGTCATCTGAGTGTCTAGATATAAGGACGCTCCAGGCAGAGAGGCCAGCCAGCACAAAGTCCCCAAGGCAGGAGGGAGCCTGGCATGTTGAAGCGACAGCTTCTGGAGTGGAGGGAAGGAGGGGATGAGTTGGGGGAGACAAGCTCAGAGAGGAGAGGAGGGCAGATCCTTAAGGCCCTGTGGGTCATTGCGGGGACATGGGCTTTTACGTGAGCGAGAAGCAGAGCCTTCGGAGGGTTTCTGACAGAAGATCACTCTGTTGCTTTGAGAATAGATCACAGTAGGGGCGGGGGCGGAAATAGAAACCTGTTGCCACCTGACAGATGATCCAGTTTGGAGCAGGCTGGCACAGGTGCGGTGGTGACAAGTGGCCTCTGGCTGTGCTTTGACAGTAGGACCACCTGTTTGGTGGTGGATGGGAAGTGGGCATGCAGAAGGAATGAGGTGGGTATGAGGAAACAATGTACTGGGGCAACTCTGCCATGGCTTGAGTCCCCGAAAGGCTGGCGAGGTCATACAAGAGGGGGAGCGGATGATAAGACCAGCTGAGGGTGTGGTGGGAGACCCGGGTTCCAGTCCGGGAGGTTTATGAGACACCCAATGGGAGAGGTCAAGGAGGTGTTTGGAGATACGGGTCTGGAGTTCATGGAGGGGTCTAGTCCATGGACCTCTTGGGAGTCATCACTGATGAGGTGATCTATGAAGCCACAGATGGGATGAGTGCACCAAGCGAGTGACAAGAGGTCCCAGGATGGACCCTGGAGCCACCGTCACTGGTCGGTCAGGAGGAACAAGCACGTGAGCCAGTGATGGAGAAGGAAAACCACAGTGTGGCATCAGGAAGCGGAGGGCATAAAGGGCTTCAAGGAAGAGGGAGAGACCACCCCATTGGTGCTGCTGGGAGGTGAGTAGGATGAGAGTCAAGGACCAGCCAGCAGATTTAGTGATAAGATGGTTAGAACCTTCCAATGGAGCATTGATAAGAAAGTCCTATTGGAGGAGGGCTAGAGAAAAATCAGGAGGCCAGGCATGGTGGCTCACGCCTGTAATTCCAGAGAGGCCGAGGCAGGGAGATCACTTGAGGCCAGGAATTTGAGACCAGCCTGGCAGACAGGCCAACGTGGTGAAATCCTGTCTCTCCTAAAAATACAAAAAAATTAGCCGGGCATGGTGGTGGGCACCTATAATCCCAGCTACTCTGGAGGCTGAGACAGGAGGATCACTTGAACCCAGGAGGTGGAGGTTGCAGTAAGCTGAGATCACGCCACTGCACTCCTACCTGGGTGACAGAGCGAGACTCCATTTCAAAAAAAAAAAAAAAAAAAAGAAACTCAGGAAAAAAAACCCCAAGACACTGTAAGGCTAGACAGCACTTTGTAGGAGTGTTGTTGTAAAGGGAACAGAGAAAGGGGGCAGTACCTGGAGGGGGATGGGGGCCAGGATGGAATTTTGGGGGGTGGGAGAGGAAAGCATGTAGGGTACCATGGCTGCTGAGAAGGATCCAGGAGGGGTCCTCCCGGATGGGGCTGCACACTGAGCAGCTTTCAATAAATTCTCTCTTCTCACGCAATCCGAATTCTCGGCTTGAATTATTTCCTGCACAAGACCCAGGAGCCCTCTCTTGCGGTCTGGATCAGGACGCCTTTTTCAGGCAGCAAGATGGCCATCTGGGGGAGCAGGTCCTGGGGAGTCTACTGTGTCCTGGGCAACGCAGGGGCCACTTAGGCTTGGGGTCAGTCGTCTAAAGTGGGATGACTCCGCCTGGCTCCCCTGCGGCTCCCCTGCCGGGCAGCTGCTTTGGGGCCCACAGAGCAGTGAGGTCTTGGCGCTGCCATTTACTGCTGTGTGATCTCTACCATGCTGTTTAATCTCCCCAAGTCTCCATTTCTTCATCTGTGAAGTAGTGACAACACCTACCACCAAAAATGCGTTAAAGATCAGAGGTCGATTTTTTTTATTATTTTTTCAGAGACAGGGTCTCACTATGTTGTCCAGGCTGGTCTCAAATTCCTGGGCTCAAGCGATCTGCCTGCTTTGGCCTCTCAAAGTGCTATAATTACAGCTATAAGGACTAATGAGTGAGGGCTGGCGTGTTCATGTTCCATGGAAAGGAGCCGTCTTCTCCCCTCTCTGGGCATTTGGGACCAGTATTTTCTCTTTGTATCCTCCAAAAAACATGCCACTTATGTGCTGGCCACATGGAGATTATAGTCGATAAATGCCTCCTGGCTGAATAATTAACTACATAATGAGCATTTGTCTTTGTGTGAGTGATGAGACTATCAAAACCCAGAAGAGGGTGAAAGCAAGGTGAGCACATCAGCCTGTTTCACCAGCAGTGTTTTTTCTCTATAATCCTCGGCCATTTTGCACTGTCAGATTCTGATCTTAACTGCAGAGTTATAAATAAAATGCATGATTTGTACCTGTCCTACTTAGAAGGAAAATATGTGAGATCACATACAATACAAAGCACAGATATAATAGAGCTATTCAAACAAGGGTGAGAAACACGATTAGACGACTAAGCTGCAGGCGGCAGGAGAGACACCCTGTGCACGCAAATCGGAGTTGCTGAGCTGGAGGGAGTGCATTGATCTGACTGAAGACAGCACGCTACGTTTGCGGTATCTTTGTCTAGATCAACCATGATTTTTTTTTTCT
Organism: Homo sapiens; assembly: GCF_000001405.40. Classification (NCBI taxonomy): domain Eukaryota; kingdom Metazoa; phylum Chordata; class Mammalia; order Primates; family Hominidae; genus Homo; species Homo sapiens. Next base: position 151,897,518 of record NC_000007.14, on the reverse strand, counting down.
GTGTTTGGGAATATGGCAGGTTTCAGGTACCGTTTAGGGCACAGCTTCATCCAGGAGGGAGGCGGTGATACCGTTTGGATATTTGTCCCCTCCAAATCTCCTGTTGGAATGTGATCCCCAGGGTTGGAGGTGGAGTCTGGTGGGAGGTGTCTGGATGGTGGGGGCGGATCCCTCCTGGGTGGCTCAGTGCCTTTTGCAAGGGAGTGAGTGCGTGCTCACTCTTAGCTCCCGTGAGAACTGACTGTGAAAAGGAGCCCGCACCACCTCCCAGCTCCCTTGCTCCCTCTCCAGCCCCACCTCCCCCCTCCCTCACTCCCATTCTTGCCCTGTGAGCTCTGCACACGCTGGCCTCCTTTCACCTTTCTCCATAAGAGGAAGCAGCCTGAGGCCTCACCAGAAGCAGATGCTGGCTCCATGCTTTGGGTACAGCCTGCGGAACCATCAGCCACATAAACCTCTTTTCTGTCTAAGTCACTCAGCCTCAGGTGTTCCTTTATAGCAACGCAAACACACTAAGACATTCCTTCCAACTGGCCCCGGGAACAACCCCTGAAAGCCTGGGTGTTTTCACTCTACCTCTGAAGCCCACTCATGGTGAAGTAAAGAGGGGTGTGGGCCCTTCCTACCTCTGGGCTAGTAATGAGCAGCCTCCTGGAAAAGGGGCACCCGAGCACCCCATTACCCACAGACAGAAGGGACACAGAGGCCCGCCCTCAGGGCCCCCCCCAGCAAACTCAGTGGTGGGTGTGCCTGAGGTTGGGGGCTGTCCCTTCCCAAGGAGTCCCAAAGACCCCTTTGCTGCATAAGGAGGCAAAGGAACTATCCAGGGAGAAGCCACCCTGGGGCCCCACGACTGGAGTTGTGACATCTGCTGTACCTTCTGTGACCATAAGGGTCACATGGGACCCAGACACCTGGGGCTGAGCCTCCTCACTGCTCCTCCCTCACCTCCCTCTGCTCCGGCCGGACTTTCCTCCTGCCGTGTGGCTCTCTGAAATGCCCATCCCAGCAGGCACGACCAAGCCAGGCTGACATCCTCATGAAGGAACTTGGTTCCTTCCTTCTGCGGCCTCCTCTGATTTGTGGCATATGACAGTGATCATAAGGATGCTGCCTCATGGGCCTCCTCCTTCAAGGCTTAAAATAAAGGACTGCGTGTTCTGGGTGCTGATTGTGTGGTTGAGGAAGCCGAGGCAGGTGCACAGTCATGCTGGGGCTGGTGGGTGACTGGAGCCCAGGACCTGCCTGGCTTCAGGGAGAAGCTTCATGCAGGGTGTCTGTCTAGCAGAAGCCGGCTATGTTGTGAGCAGTGGCTCAGCATGGCTCTCTGTGGCCCTGTGACCTTGAATGAGTCACTCTTCATCTCTGGACTCAGTATCTTCCTCAGTGAAAAGTGGGGGGTGGGGGGGTGAGGGTGGGGATGACAGCAGAGGGCCCCCAAGGCTCCTCTGGGATTCTGTAGCAAGGATAGTGATGCTGCACCCTCAGTTTCTAAGTCACAGGTCAGAAGGAGCTCTCCGGAGCCCTCCCAGAGGCCAGGCACACAGACACCTGGCGCCGGGAGAGCACAGCTGGGCCCGGGCAGGCTCCTCACATCCCACAGCTCCCTCTAAAGCCGTTCTGCCAGCTTACACGGTGTGTCATGAAAGCCTGGTGATGCACTGGCCGTGATTGCAGATGAGCTACTGTCTGCCTTAATTAAGCTTACAGGGACTAAATGTGGCTGCTGACACGCTGAATGCAAATTACCTCTGATTCACATTTGGAATGGCTCCTCATGTCCCCTTTCTGTGCATAACTGTCATGCGGCAAGATCTGGAATTGTTTTTTCTGGAGTTTGACGCTTGAGGGGGTTTAACTCTGGGGCTCTGCCCAAATCCCACCATTCATAGCTTTTGCTTTAGTCTGCATGACACCATGACTGGTCAAATGAAGGAGTCAGTCCTAAAAGACCAAAAGCCCCCTGCGGCCTGGGAGTGAGCGTTGCACAGGTGTGGTCTGACCAGTGTCAGAACATGGACAGAGGCTGCTCTCAGATACTGGGTTTCTGTAGGACCTGCACCCGTGAGGCCTGGGCCTTCTCCGGCAGGCCCTCAAAACATGTTGAGGCCTGTTGAGTGTGCTGAGGTCTGAGGTCTAAGACTAGTTGGCTCCAAAAATAAACAATGGAGTCAGTCTTGAAAAGTTATAACAGAAACAAACCTCTCGGCAAAGAAAAGGAGGAGTCGTTGCCTAAAAGCCTCTTATGGAGCAAGGCGAGAGAGGAAAATAAATGGGGCAAGTCAGTGTATAATTAAGCGTAACCTGAAGGGTGTGGCACAGCCCGTGAAAGTGTTGGGCACACAGCAAGGCAGAGGAGCGGGGAGGGCGGAGGAGCGGGGAGGGCGAACAAGCAGGGAGGACGGAGGAGCAGGGAAGGTGGAGGAGTGAGGAGGACGCAGGAGCAGGGAGGGCGAACGAGCGGGGAGGACGGAGGAACAAGGAGGGCAGAGGAGCGGGGAGGGCGAAGGAGCGGGGAGGACAGAGGAGCAGGGAGGGCAGAGGAGCGGGGAGGGCGAACGAGCGGGGAGGACAGAGGAGCAGGGAGGGCAGAGGAGCGGGGAGGGCGAACGAGCGGGGAGGGCGGAGGAGCGGGGAGGATGGAGGAGGGGGGAGGACAGAGGAGCGGGAGGGAGGACGAGCGGGGAGGACGAAGGAGCAGGGAGGGCAGAGGAGCAGGGAGGAGACAGGATTGGGGAGGGCAGAGGAGCAGGGAGGAGACAGGATTGGGGAGGGCAGAGGAGCAGGGAGGATGGAGGAGCAGGGAGGGCAGAGGAGCGATGAGGGCAGAGAAGCCAGGAGGGCGGAGGAACTGGGAGGGCGGAGGAGCGGGGAGGACGACGGATCGGAGAGGGCGGAGGAGTGGGGAGGACGGAGGATCGGAGAGGGCGGAGGGATCGGGGAGGGCTTGAGCCCTTATTGCAGCTTCCAGGTGGGGCCTGGAAGGAGACAGATGCCGGGGAGATGTGGGAGAGAAGAGAGGGTGTTCCAGGCAGCAGGGGGCCCGGACAAAGGCACAGAGGGCAGCTAAGAAAGACCTGGGTAAGGAAGCACCACAAACCAGGTGGCTTAAAACAATAGAACTTTCTTTTCTCACAGTTCTGGAGGCCGAAGTCTGCAGTCAAGGTGTGGGCCGGGCCCGCTCCCTCTGAAGGCTGCATGGGAGGGTTCTCCCCGCCTCCTCCAGCTCCTCGTGCTGCAGGCAGCCCCTGGCGTCCCTCCGCTTGCAGAGCATCATGCCAATCTCCACGTCTGTCGCCACACAAGCTTCTCCCTGTGGGTTTCTGCCTGTGTCTGTTTTCCCTTCTTCTAAAGACTATTGGATTCGAGTCCACCCTCATCAAGTGTGACGTCCTCTTACATGATCACATCTCCAAGACCCTATTCCAAATAAGGTCACATTCATAGGTCCTGGGGGTAGAGCTTCAACATGCTTTTTCACGGGACACAATTTAACCCATAACATCATACACAGAGGCCAGAGAGGCCAGCCTGCCTGACCTTTGGGGGAAATACTGCTGAGGAGCATCAGGGAATGAGGTTGGAGGAGGATGTGAGGCAGGCGGGGTTCTGGGTGGTCTCAGAGATGACGCCACAGCCATGGCGGTGGCCACCAGGGTCTCCTCCCTGAGAACCTGCCACAGCCTTGGTGGTGTGGAGGTGGGGGGTGACGCAGCGGGGGGTCACAGCCATCCCGGGGGAGAATCACAATGCAGGCACTTGGGGGTCTGGCATCCTTGACTGACAGCCCAGAACCTCTCTTGGGTCCTTCACACTCTCCCCACCTGTCCCCAAGCAAGGACAGGGCAGGGTGGCAGCCCAGAGCCAGCCCACTCCTCCCTTTCCCAGCATCCTCTAACTGAAGAATGTGCTTGGTGACCCCCCACCCCGGTCTGGCCGAGACTTGCTCAGAACTGAGCTGCAGGCTGGAGGCCCTTCCTACCCAATCCTTCCTTCCAGGTGTCAGGCTCCCCGGAGGTCTGAACCCACTCCTGCTCTTTCTCCCTTTACCCTTCACAGGCATTCCTTCCATTAAATCTCTTGCACATCTAATCCCATCTTGGCATGGCCTCATGACTGTACAGATAGAGTAGAAAACAGGGAGGCAAACTGTTTGTTTGTATTAAGAGAGAGCTGAACTGAGCAATCCCTGTGATGCTAGGATTTCAGTCTGAAGCAGATCCAGTTTTTCATTGATAAGGGTCAGTTAGAGTAAAATCCACGACTGGAGAGATGTGGACAGAGACTGGAATAAAGGGAGTTCACTTTGACCTGCTGCGGGAATTTCAACGGGATCATTTACATGCCTCTTCTATGCTGGTGATGTTGCTAAGCTTCTTCGCAAATATTCCACCACAAGTTTATTGAAATGGACATTTTTGCTATTTTTCATTTCACAAAGTGGTGCTACATTTTTTTTTAAAGAAGTTCTAAAATATTTTGAGCATTGGGAAAATCATTCGAGTACATGTGGATCTTCCCAGTGGAAGATTATAATGCTGGTGTTTGTATTCTGTGACATTCTCCCCCTCACTCTCAATAAAAGTAAAATGGGTAGAAGTGAACACAAGACAGGATACTTTGCAATCTCATGTAGTCCTAGGATCAACCATTCTGTTAATCTGTTTTGTTTGTTCATTTTTGAGACGTAGTCTTGCTCTGTTGCCCAGGCTGGAGTACAGTTGTGCTATCTCCGCTCACTGAAACTTCAGCCCCTCAGGTTCAAGCGATTCTCCTGCCTCACCCTCCCGAGTAGCTGGGATCACAGGCACCCGCCACCACGCCCGGCTAATTGTTGTATTTTTAGTAGAAATGGGCTTTCCCCATGTTGGCCAGGCTGGTCGTGAACTCCTGACCTCAAGTGATCTGCCCGCCTCATCCTCCTTAAGTGCTGGGATTACAGTCGTGAGCCCCCACACCTGGCCCATTTTGTGAATCTGAATTTTAAAATGGAAAGAGATACTAGGGTCAAACAAATGAGGAACAGGTAAGAGTACACCAAAAGGAAAGTAGGTTTATTTTTCCTCACTCCTCAGCCCATCCCCTCAGCCCAGAGTTATCTGGTTACAGTGCTGCGGGAATTTAACCATAAATAAATGGAATCTGAATTATGCTTGTCAAAGTAAGTGACCAACATCAGCTGATGGTTCTGAGTTTTGGCTTCTGCAGTCGCTATTTTTTTTCTTGCTCAAGTAACTTGAAAAATTACTAATGGACATTGCTAATCCCAGTTATTAGTAAGCTTTAGTCAGGCTCTCTTCGACTACAAAGGGAAAAGTTATTTTCCTATAGGGGAAGATTAATGCACTCAAGTTCCACCAGTTATTCGTCTAAATCCCCAGAGTAACAAGAAGATCCAATGCCTCTGCTTTACTTGAGCCTGGAAATGACTCTGGCATCCCACAAGCACCAATCGGAGTCAGAAGCCCACCCACCCAAAGACTCGGGATTTTATGAACCACAAGTCTGCCGTCCCCACAGACACCCAGCATGGAGGCTTTGTGATAAAACCAAAGTCATTCCCTGTTCAACACTGCTCCCGCCCTGATGCTGCCCGGGGATCGCAGGAGTGCAGGGCTACCTGACCACAATGAAGGCTGTGGGGGCTGTGGGGCAGAGGAGAGGCTGCAGCAGCTCAGTAACAGGTACTCATGTTAGTTATAGCTCTGCTGACACAACGTGTCTTTCCTTCTTTGCTTCTCTCCTCCCTGCCACGCTTCTTTACCTCCTCCACTTGTTCTAGAAAGAATAACCTACAAATGGACAAAAATGACAACATGATTAAGTTAACTAAAAGTGAGTTTATTCGTTAGGACTCTTGCATTGCAGGAGACAGGAATCCCACACTATCTTAAGAAAATATGGGAATGTTCTTGACTCACAGGGAGAAGCAGAGGAGGGATTGGTCTTAAGGATGACAGGAACCCAGGCTTTGCTGTTCCTCCCATCTCTGAGTACTGTACCCTGGCTCCCAGTCTGGCCGTCCCTGGAGCAGGGGTAGTGCCAGGCTGAAGTCTAACTGCCTCGAGATAAGAATGGAAAGGGCTCTGTCAGCGCCAGAGTCACAAGGAAGGCTCTGATTGGCCACCAAGACCAAGTCTCCCGACTGGGGGTGATTATGACAGGCTGAGCCAGGGACTAGGGAGGCAGAATACCAGCGTCCCCTACCAGACCTAAATACTGTGCTGGGAGAGGTAATTTCCTCCAATAGCAGATGTGTGTATACGTCAAGCCAGGAGCACGCACTTGCTGTGGGTGGGCCACAGCTTGGGTGATTATGTTCCAGTCAGCTCTAGGACTCACAAGATACAAACAGACCAAGAGTTCAGGAGAAAGACAACTATTCTTGGTTTAAGACCGAACAGGAATTTCTCTCTAGAGATCTTAGCGTATGTCTTTTTGTTTGTTTGTTTCAAACTATCAAATCCCCAAGGTGGTTAGCACCCATGGAGCCCTGGCCGCTGTAACAAAATGGAGTCCTCTCCAAGAGTTCCCGGTAGAAACAGCACTCTCCATAGTGGCCTTGTGCCCTTCTCCTTGGAGCCCTGACCCAAACAGCCCCTGTGTCTCCTCTCCCTCCAGAGTCCCCTGCGCAAAGCCCAGCTCTGCTAAGGATCACTCTTCTCAAATCCCACGTGATCCCGCTTCTGACTGAATAAAAGTCCCTTCTTTCTGCCTGGCCCTGAAGTAGATCACATCTATGGGCCTCGAGCTCATTCCGTCATTCAGTTATCGAAAAGTCACTGGAAAAAGACTCATGTAAAATCAGCAATTCCTATAACAACCAACACCCCCACTGTTACACCTCACATGGCATAGTCTCTCTTCAGCAAAGATCTGAAGATGTTTGCAATAATAGTCCAAATAACAGCAAATATCACCGGCATGAAATGGAAAGGGGAAGTAGGCTGGCATCCCCTCTCCACATTCCCCTCCCTGGGAGAAGGAGCTCCGCCCACGCAGTGAGGTGGGAGGCAGCCCTGCTCTGCTGCCCAGAGCCTCTGTGGCGCAGGGCGTTCTCCACAGCATCCTTGACAGCCTGTCAGGTGACAGCAGGGTGGCTCAACACAGCACCTGCAATTCTCTAGCAGGAAAGACAGATGCAAAATGTGTGACTGCTTTTTTTCTGGTTCCCAAAATACTTCCCAGGAGAAGGAGCAGAGGAAGGGCCAGGGCAGTGGATCTCAAACGATATGCACACGTGAGTGCACACACATGCTTACACATGCACACACACGCTCACACATGTCCACACGCACACACACATGCACACACGTACGCATGCGCACACGAACACACATGCACACATGTACACACTTTTGCACATGCACACGCACACACGAACACACAAATGCACACACATATGAATGCACACACAAGCACACACACATGCATACACATGCCCTACCCCAAATCCCCCAACCACAGCCTGGGGAAGGAGCCCAGGCACCTCCTGGACCCTCTGAAGCAGGGCCTGAGGGCCACTCTGAGAAACGCTGCTCCTAACTCCAAGGTGCCAGGTCCCCGGCTGCCCTGGACCCACGGGAACAGCCTTCTAGGAAACACACTCTCTTCTGCGGTGAGGGTGGCCTCTGGGGGCCAGGTGTATTAGCTTCAGAGGGCAACAGGGCATGTGCCCAGGAAATTGTGGACTTTTTGCAATTTTCCAGAAGATTCTGGAAAGCAAACCACGTTGACGGTGCTACAGCTGTGTGTCTGGTATTTGCACTAACATCAAGGAAGAGACAGGAACGAATGTGAGTGGAGCCTCTGCCAGCCCTGCTGCCTGCAAACACCTGGGCATCCTTCTCTCCTTTTTGCTCAGTGGCTACGTGGCTTGCCTGCAGTCACACCAGCAGCAAGCAGCCAGGCAGGTCTGACTCCAGAGCCCAGGCTCCTTCCTGTGCACCTCTTTAAAGTCCCAAGGCCAGCGCACACAGAGGCACGTCCCTGGGTGGTGTCATTAGGGAAGCAACCAAAAGGAACCGCAGCCCTGGCCCCTACTTCTTCTGCAGAGGCTGAAATTCCACCATTAGTAATTACTTTCCTGGGAGGAAAAGTATATTAGGGTTCTCCAGAAAAACAGAGGCAATAGTGTTTGTATATGTATGTGTGTATGTATAATGTACATACATATACTTATATATGTGTATATCGCAGCCATTCTTTAAACTTACTCCCCTCCCTCCCACCGCGTGCACACACACACACACAGAGGAGAGAGAGATTGATAAGATTGATTCACTTTAAGGGACGAGCTTGTGATTATGGGGGCTGCCAAGCCTGAAATCTGCAGGACAGGCCAGCAGGCTGGAAATTCAGGTGCGAGCTGAGGTTGTAGCTTTGAGTCAGAAGGCTGTCTGGAGGCAGAATTCCTTTTTCCCTGGGGCATCTGAGTCTTTTCTCCCATGGCCTCCAAATGACTGGATGTGACCCACCCTGCTGTGGAGGATGGAGGGTGATCTGTTTTCAGTCCACTCATTTAGACGTTCATCTCATTTGAAAAAGGCCTTCACGGAAGCATGTGACCGGCATTTGACCAAACAGCTGAGCACCGCAGCCTGGCCACATTGACATTTAACGTTAGCCATGGCAGAGCCCATTAAATCGGCATGTGGGGCTCCGTGCAGAGCCACAACACCCTGGCTCTGACCTGCCGCTGATGGCTGTTAGCCTGGTGATCTCCAACAGGGCCGCTGTGTAAGTCACTCAGCCTTTTCAAACCTTGTATTTGTGTGTGGCAGGGTAGGGGTGGGGATATAATTCTTACTGTAAGAATGAAATGAGCTGACATCCATGAACACACCGTGAAATGGAAAATCCTCCACGCCTGTGTTTCTCACTCTGTGGTGGGAGTGGGTTCAGCTGGTATTTTCCTGTCTGCATGTCCACTGGATCATCACTCCCAGGCTCCTGTAGAGGAAGGGCCCTATTGATCTGCCATCAGTAGGATGGGCATTTGGCGGCTCAATCAGTGCAGATGGGTTTCTGGTGACTCATCGCACAGCATGCGCTCAATAAGTATTTATTGCCTGAGTGCGGGAAGACAAGGCAGCCACTCCTTGTACTCACCACACAAACTTTGGTGTCCGACTCAGTTCTCCAAGAGTCCAGAGAGAAAGGGAGAGAGCATCCTCAACAGACTCCTCGACGGTCTGATGGCAAGGACCTTGGAAATCACCCCACCTGGCGGTCTCACTTCACAGATGAAGGCGGTGGAGGCTCAGAGAGGCACGTGCCTGCCAAGTCTGGCATGGGATGGTCGCCGGTCCAGGACCGGGGCCCAGGCCTCCTGCCCAACATCAATAAATAGGACAGAAATTACTGTGAAAGTCTATCTCCTCCTCCACTGCTTCACATCTTTTCCAGAATAAATGCCATATAGAAAAAAAAAAGATTTAAATGTAATATGATTTTTTATGTTAAAAAAAGGAAACAGTACAAATGCAGAAGTAAATATGGGAGAGATTTTAAAAATAATTTTGAAGTAGGAAGGGCTTCTCTAAATATGGCAGAAAACCCCAAATAGCCATAACAAATAAATTAATGAAATAAAACATATAAAAAGAAAAAATCCTGCATGGAGAAAAGGCATAATAAACAAAGTCAGAAGACAAAAAATAACTGGGAAGAAATATTTGCCACCCACTGATGAGGAGCTAATCTCTTTATATATAAAGAGTGCCTATAAGTAGATAAGAAAATGATCCACTACCCAATAGGAGAATAGGCAAAAATCACAAATAGACAACAGACAGAAAGAGAACTCAAAAAAGACACGCGAATGTGTAAAAAGATGTGCATTCTTATTTATCACAAGAAAAATACACAGTAAAAGTGCGAGATACTATTTTCACCTAAGAGGTGGGCAAATATCAAAAAGTTAGAAATAGATTTGTGTCGATGAAGGTGTAGAGAGACAGGCGTGTTCATACACTGTGGGTGAGAGTGCAAACGGATGAACGTCCCAAGGAAAACAAATCACTGGTCTATGAAACTGAATCATGTCTTCACACCTTGTTCTAGCAAGTCCCTGTCTAAGCATTTGTCCTTCGGCACACTCCAAAATGTGTGAAATGACATGTGCACAGCATTCCAGCATTGGAAACAGCCTACATTTTCATCAGTAGAGGACTGCACACATAAATACAAGGTAATACATAAGTAATGATAATAAATTATGCAATGCTCGTACCATGGAATACTAGGCAGCCATTCTCAGGAATGAAGCAGCTCTCTATGAAAGGATATACACAATCTTCAAGACTTACTGCTGAGTTGGAAGAAAAGATAGAGGACATCATCAACAGCAGGCCTCCTCTGTGGGGGGAGAATGTCCACATGGACCTCAGCCTCCCACTCCCCTCCAGAGTCCGTCTCACCTTTTCTCGCCCTTCAAACCTCCCATCCACAGGTGGCACTGCCTCTTATTCACGGGGAAAACAGAAGCGCTCAGGAAAGAGCCTCACAAGCTCCCTGACTGTGTCTCCCAGGCTGCATTCGACGCGGTCCCTTCCAGTCACCTGGGTGATCTGTCCCATCTCCCACCTGTTGGCGGCCGGCCACGCCGCTGGTTCAGCTCATCTCTCTTGTCTATGAGGTTTTCCCCTCTCTTTCCCGCACCGTCGACACAACTCCCTCCCCTGAATGTTACAGGGTTGTTAGCACACAAACATGCCGTAATATCCCCCATCTTTTTTTTTTTTTTTTTTAAGACAGGGTCTCACTCTGTCACTCAGGCTGGAGTGCAGTAGTGTGATCTTGGCTCACTGCAGCCTTGACCTCCTGAGCTCAAACGATCCTCCCACCTCAGCCTCCTGAGTAGCTGGGACCACAGGCGTGTGCCACCACACCTGGCTAATTTTTGAATTTTTTGTAGAGATGGGGTTTTGCCATATTTCCCAGGCTGGTCTTGAACTCCTGATCTGAGGTGATCCACCAGCCTTGGCCTCCCAAAGTGCTGGGATTGCAAGCATGAGCCATCGTGCCTGGCCATATCCCTCACGTGAAAAAAAAAAAAAAAAGCCCTCTCTTGACCCACATTTTTCCCTGCTCACCACCTCATTCTCTGCTCCCTCATACAGCAAAGTTCCTAGAAATAGTTCTCACTATTCACCACGTCCTTTCCTCTGGATGTCCAGAGCCAGTCCCAGCAGGCTACTGCTCTCAAGCTCCTCTGCTCCTGCAAGCTAACCAGTGGCCTCCAGGTCACCATCAACTCTGCCTCTTCTTCTAACTCACTGCTTCTTCTCTCCCTTGCTCTCTGCAGGCCACTTTCTCCCAATTCCCTGATGACTCCCTGGCTGTTCTTTCCTGGTCCCTTTGTTGGCTCTTTCTTATCTCCCCAGCCTCCAGCTGTTGGAGGCTGCGAGGTACAGTCCCAACCTCTTTGCTGTCTACATTCTCATCCTAGACCATCTCTTCCCACCTCACAGCTTTAAATTCCATCCCTTGGTTGACGACTTCCAAACAAGCGTCTCTTGTCACCCTGACCCCTGTCTCTCTGGACTCTTCACTTGGGTGTTTGATGTATGTCTGAAGTTTACTGTATCCAAAAGCAAACTGTTTCCCCAGCCCCTCCCTGCCCCTGCCGTCCCAGTAAGTGGGATCATTCCAGGTGCTCCCATGCTGCCCTTTCCTCCTCTCAGACCCCACATCCAATCTATCAGCAAATTCTGGGGATTCTGTCTTCAAAACATATCCAGAAATAACAATGCCTTCTTGCCACTGCTCCTCTCCCACCCTGGCCTGAGCACTGTCACCTCCTGCCTGATGACACGATGGCCTTCTTACTGTGCTCCCCTGTTCTTTCCCTGTTGCTTGCACAGTCTTTTCTCTCCATAGCAGCCAGGCTGCTAAGGTCCTTTAAAAACGTGAATCAGATTGTGTCATTCTTCTAGTTGATGTTCTCCAACATGATCTCATCTCACTCAGATAAAAGCCAAGGCCCTTACTGTCCAATATGTTAAGTCCTACCACTCTTTCTCTCACCAACTTCAAACACCCCGATCTCACCCTTCTGTTTTGGAATCCTCTCCCCAGCGACCCACATGGCTCACCCCACCATGTCCGTCAGAGGTCTGCTCGAGTATTCCGTGACTCTAGGGCCACAGTCAAGGCTGCCCGGCAGACGCTGGGCCCACTGAGGGAGGGTCAGGCTAGTGGGGCCACAGCCACAGAGGCAGGAAATGCTTCCCATGATGCTGCTCAAGGCAAAATAACAGCAGAAGAATCCCCTGGCTTCTGTTGCCCTCCTACTCTTCCATTCTCTCCTATTGGCCAAAGCTCGCCGGACACCAGTTGGTGAAAGATCCTGGGACTAGAGGCCCTGGCAGTCCATAGCCGGGCAGGTCAGGGAATGGATCTAAGAGCAGAGGGAACCGGCCACACAAAAATAGATCCCCACGCAAATGAGCACAGCCCCATACTGGACCGTAAGTCAGTCTTTGGGGAAATGGTTACCATGACACCGTTCTAGAGATGTGTCAGTGAACATCTTGGTGAACAGTTTGCACCAGCTTCTTAAACCTGAAAGATAAAGAATAGGGTTGAAACCAATGGTCCTACCGAGGCGGACTCTCCTTGAAGCTCCATGAGAAACAGCTGCTCTCCTTGCGTCCTAACTGCAAGAATCACAGACAAATTTGCTGGCCTCAGTGTTGACCACAGTGAGCACCGGGGGCCTTTGGCGAATGCTGTGCTTTGGCAATGAACCCCACCCACTCCTTCACAGATACCTTTCGGATACCCAAAGCAATGTCTGCTTCCATCCCTGTAAGATATTGGCAACTCCTTCAGGTCATGGGCGCATAAGCTTTACAGTGTCAGGAAAATGTTCTCTCATGCAGGTCAAAGAACAATGAACTTAGTTTTGTAATTATGCTTTATTTTTTGACCTAGAGAGTAAAAAGCTACAATAAGTGGGGCTAGAAAAAAACAAGGCAAGACCTTTCGTACAATGGTGCTATCAGGAGCATGTGTTGCAATGATCTCAAAGAACCTTATGCAAGCCCATGGTACAGAGTTCTACTTGGAAAGTTCCTCACTGTCCCAAGACCTCACACAATTCTTAGGAGTTAGATTTAGGAACATTTTAAAAATTACCTTTTGACCCACATGGCACAGGGAGTGTTGTCATAAACCATTATGTCCTTGAGAACCACCTGCATGGCTAGAGTTTTTGAACTAACCATCTTTGAGGGCTTTGGCATGCACCAAATGCGTATTTATTGATTATGGCATAAAGTGCTAGTGAACAGGGACAGAGATAAATTCTGGAAAGGTCATGCTTGAGTCTAGCTCAGGGTTTGTCAGTGGCTTCTGGGAGGAACACAGCTTCTTCAGAGAGTCAGGATGATGCTGTGCCTCTCTAGCACGGCTTGGAGGTCAGTGGGTCTCTGCCTCTGTGCACCTGGTCCTCTGGAACATGAGCTGGCGCTCTGCTCTGCAAATGCTGCCAAGTCCGAAGGCATAGCATGCAAATCTATTTTTTCTGGAGTCTTGTTGAGAAGCCATGACTGGCATTCTAGAGACCAGGTCTGGGTATCAGCTGCATATCACTGGAATGGATGGTATCAGTGGTGCAGGCAAACCAGAGCTTCAGACAGACCCTCTCATGTAAGTGAACAGTCAGATTTGCATTGCAATGTACGAACTTTGAGGCCAATATCATTACCAAAATAATTTTATTTGCTTGGGAAATTATTACAATTAATTTGCATTACTTAATCATGTGCCCATAGATGGGTGAGAGGTCAGAAACCAGTCAAGAGCCATATTCAGGTAATAGTAGTATTCAGATTTCCCAAGGTTAATCAGGATGTTTATTGCATGTTGAGAGCTCATAACTAAGTCAAGAACCAACACACACAGACCTTTAGTCAAATTCTGCAGCCCAGGGAGACCAAATCTTCCACCCCAGTGGGAGGTAATGCCGGATCACTAGGATAAAAGTCACATGGGACACTCTGCAAAACAATTATAAAGGCAGCTGTTAGCAGAACCAAAGACTTTATTCCCAACTAATGCTGTTTACATGACGGCTACCCTTAGTCAGGAAGGGGGCATCATTGCTGGGGATTCCCTATTCTATTATTTAGCAAACAGACACCTCCTCACTGCACAGCGCTTGTGGATACACATGCCCTGTTTGGTGAATCTGTCATTCTGTAGAACTGCTGAGTGTGTGCTTAGGTACAGAGCTGGCCAAGACACGAAGCTATTCTCTAGAGAGAAGATATGCACAGCAAATCTGTCGTTTGGGAGAACATTGCTACAGGGTTCACCTTTACCTTAATCCAAAGTACTTCTTGGATTTCACGATGAGGACTTCCTTATGGTTGACTGGCATCATGGATGAAGAGCTACCTGGAGCACTGACCAAGGAGGTGGCTGGCACAGGTGCCCGGGAAAATAAAATGGACCCAGAAAGGGGCAGTCAGGCAGTCAGGAGATGTGTTGTCCCAAAGCAGTGTTCCTGCTGGTCCTGGGCCCCTGCCTCCACTTCTCTGCGTGGATTGATACTAATGACTCCATTTGTACCAGGGAGCAAAAGCCATCACAAGGTTACACAACCATTGCCCAAGCTTAAAGGAAATAAAAACTGGAATGTGACTATTTGCCCTGTTTTTCACAATTAGATAACACCCCCTTAGCTTGGTATTCAATAAGTTATCAAAGCATTTACAGAGTCCTGAGCCCAGAACTTGCTGTTTAGTTTTTCTAAGAGTTGTAAAATTGAGCTGTTGTTGTCTTCCTGCATATACAGACCATTGCTCTCTCCATTTGTGTCACAGGCAAATAGACCAAGGCAGCTAAGATGTTCTTAGTTGGTCTCTCTTAGACGGTCCAAGGTTAT